>NC_000013.11:86050138-86202979 GCF_000001405.40 Homo sapiens | reverse complement strand
TATATAAATATCTATATATAATATAAATATATATTATATATAAATATATATCTTTATATAAATATATATATAATATATAAATATATATCTTTATATAAATATGTATATATAATATATAAATATATATCTTTATATAAATATATATAAAATATATAAACATATATACATATATATCTATATAAACATATATAGATATATATCTATATATAAACATATATAGATATATATCTATATATAAACATACATAGATATATATCTATATATACATATATAGATATATATCTATATATAAATATATAGATATATATCTATATATAAATACATAGATATATATCTATATATACATATATAGATATATATCTATATATAAATATATAGATATATATCTATATATAAATATATAGATATATATCTATATATAAACTTATATAGATATATATCTATATATAAACTTATATAGATATATATCTATATATAAACTTATATAGATATATATCTATATATAAACATATATATATCTATATATAAACATATATAGATATATATCTATATATAAACATATAGATATATATCTATATATAAACATATATAGATATATATCTATATATAAACATATATAAATATATATAAGTATATATCTATATGGAAACATATATAAATATATATCTATATATTTATATATCTATATATATCTATATATATCAATATATATAAATATATATCTAGATATCTATATATAAATATATATCTAGATATCTATATATAAATATATATCTAGATATCTATATATAAATATATATCTAGATATCTGTATATAAATATATATCTAGATATCTGTATATCTATATATATCTAGATATCTGTATATCTATATATATGAATATATATCTATATATCAATATATCACTATATATAAATATATATCTACATATCAATATATCAATATATGTCTATATATCTATATATCAATATATATAAATATATATCTATGTATCTATATATCAATATATATAAATATGTATCTATATATCTATATATGTATATATCAATATATATGAATATATATCTATATATCTATATATCAATATATATCTATATATCTATATATATAAATATATATCTATATATCTATATATATAAATATATAGATATATATTTCCAGCCAACCATTTGTTTATAAGAACTCTCTGTGTAACTGTAACTACATCTAATGGGTTGTTTCTGACTCTTGCATTGTTTGTCCACAGTATATACAAACTACATTTTGCACCTGCAATCATCTAATGATAGGTACGTAGAGGACCTCAACTATTGAGTATGAAAAGTGGCTATCTACTAATGAAATGTGTTAGAATTACACTAGGAAGTCAGTCCTACAATGTCAGTTCAAATACATTTGTACATTCCTTTCAGGGACCAGCCTATTTTGTCTATAATCTACTTGTTGTTATGCTTAGATAATTTTTCTAACAGGCTTCCGTATATTCATTCTTACAGTCAGTAATTTGCTGAATATTTCAAATATTAACTCCCAGTATAAGATTATCTAGATATAATCTTTAAACTATCCTAAATTGGTTAATTTTGTCTATAGAGTTTTTTGTCAATCAGAATAGTTTAGTTTCACAATAGTTCACTCATTTTTTTATTATTTATGCTTTTTAGATATTGTCTACAAGTTCACTCTTCCATCTTATATTATTTTTCTCTGAAGACATTTCATAGAACACTCCTCAATTTGATATTTTATCATAACTAAAATGAGGTTATTCAAGTTGGCAGGTTTACTGCAGAAATGTGTGGTCTTCTCAGGCAAAAGTTACTGATTTGCTCCATCATGTTTATTTTGATTACCTGGATAATATGATGACCCACTGGGTTTCCTCATTGTACAGTAATTATTATTTTGAATTAATAATTACATTTCGGTAAGACAGTCTGATTGTATAAATAAACTATTATTTCTTATTCTTCATGCAATGAATCATCAAAATTAATTATTTAACATAAGAAAGCTGGAAAAAATATACACTCAAAAAACAAAAGAATAAAAAACATGAAAGAAGAAAGCAAAGCAAATTCAGAAATGAGGTGAAAACTTTAAAAACTTAATTCACTGTATACTTAATATCCACAAATATTGGGCGTGTGCAAGAAAAGAATAGAATTCTATAAAAATACTGTAAGTAAATAAGTTCTTAGAAATTTTATATATCATACACGTGCTTAAAAAATCAGAAAGAAATTTGAAGATAATTTGAGAAAGAAAAAAATGAGAGAGGAAGAGATAAAGAGAAATAAATGAAAGGATTAAAAAAGTGTACTCATCCTTACAGATATTAATGTAACCAAAGCAGAAGTAATAAAAAATAGTCTGTGGTTCATGACCAAAAGATTTTATAAGAAAGGATAGCTTAAACACATATTTAGCATGTGTATATATAAATGTTATTTATTTATATGTGTATATTAAATTGACATATGATAAAGGAGAAACCACAAAGAATGTGTAAAGTTTTAGAACTTATTAATGATTTTAGATGCAATAATTTGTGTAACTATTCTTTGACACTTTCTTTCTAATCCCATATTACTTCTACATGGTTTAGAGAGCTTTTCTGTCATAAGAGAGTACTATTCCTGTTTCACCATTTATTTCAGTATTAATATATCTATGTATGCATTTCTTTTTTACATCAGTGTGTTTAATAGTTTCTTATTTCATTCACTAGGTCATAACCTTTTTCTATTATTGGTAGTCCCTTTAAGACGGCTCATTTTCTTTTATACATGTCTCCATTGTTCTTTGAGTACATCTCTGTTGTCTACCACCACAAGATGTTTCAGGTTCATTTTGTACATATATTTCCCAGCAATGGAAGCAATTGTTTCTCCAAGGACACTGGTTTCTCTTTGTAAAGAATGATAATTAGGCCTGGCACGGTGGCTATCACCTGTAATCTCAGCACTTTGGGAGGCTGAGGTGGGCGGATCACGAGGTCAGGAGTTTGAGACCGGCCTGGCCAGTATGGTGAAACCCAACTTCTTCTAAAAATACAAAAATTAGCCGGGTATGTTGGCAGGTGCCTGTAATCCCAGCTACTCAGGAGGCTGAGGCAGGAGAATTGCTTGAACTCGGGAGGCAGAGGTTGGAGTGAGCCCAGATCGCACCACTGCACTCCAGCCTGGGTGACAGAGCAAGACTCTGTCTTGGGGGTAAAAAAAAAAAGAATAATATTTAAACCCAAGGCTGTGTGCTAATTGTGCTCATTGCTTTCGGGGTGGCATTACTTCTTGGGCATCTTAATGGACAGAGATAGGAAACAGAGGCATGCATTCACAGCCATTCATACCTACGCGCACGTGTATGTATGTGTGCACACTCACACTCATACACATATGCACATATGCAAACACACAGAGTAGAGATTTCTACATTTAAAATCATGATTTCACTATGATCTTATTTCAAACAAAATGGCAGAATTCATCCTTTCTTCTTTTCCATATCTATATTTATTTTCTCTGTTAATAAAAAAATTATCCAATATATATTTACTTGTGTGTCCTTGAATATACATATCATAGTTTTAAATTCTATAAATGATGAGTCTGTGAAAAATTAACAAAAGCCTATCAATTAGAGTGCTGATATCCTCAGGAATATTATATATAATATATATCAATATGGCCAATATATATTTGGATGGCCAAAATGCTATATTCCAAAATTTCTAAGTTAATTCATTTTCCCCACTTTTGTGTGGTGTAGTTATGTTATGTATTTATTTAACTATATATATAGTTAATAATTCAATATTATGCTTTATTTCATCTGTCCATAATTGATGTTATGTAACTCACTTACAATATGATTTTAAGGATTGTTTCCCCATTCTTGTTTATTACAGTTATTTTCTTTATTTGAGTATTTGAAATGTTACTGTCTTAGTTCAGGTGCCACACAATGTACCATGGATTGGGTGGCTTATAAGCAGCATTATTTATCAAAGTTCTGGAAGCTGGAAGTCCGAGATTAAGGTGGCAGCACTGTAAGGTTCTGATGAGGACCCTTTTCTGAACTGCAGAATGCTGATTTCCAGTTGTGTCTTATAATGGTAAAAAGAGAGCTACCTAGTTCTGTGGCTTTTATTTATTTTCCTTTTTCTTTGAGAAGGGACTTGCTATGTTGTCCAGCCAAACTCCTGGACTCAAGAATTCTCCTGCCTCGGCCTTCTGAGTAGCTAGGACTTTATATAGCTTATTCTTATAAGGGTACAAATCCCATTCCTAAGGGCTCCACCCTCATGACTTAATTACACTCAAAAGCCCCACCACCAAATACCATCATATTGAAATGACAAATTCAACATACAAATTTTGGGGGGACACAAATATCCAATTGCTTGTATTTGACAGGTAACCAAGTCAAAGTTAGTTCAGAATTATATAAAAAGGGCCAGTCAGAAAAGTGATGTTTCTTCCCATTACTTTTATCATTTTCACCCCATTTCTTTCCATTTTCTCTAGATAACCAAGCTTGTTAGGCTATACTTTATCCTATGTGATTTATTTTTGCAATAATATGCAAATACCAGTATATTTTACTCTCCCCTCCTATTTTTCCCAAAATACCATGGTAAATGTCATTAATTTAAATATTAAAAGTAGAGAGTGACATGTTTAAGAATGCCTATGTCATATAGACAGATCAGGAAATATTTTATGTCAAAGCACTATTTATACTGAGACCCAGGAAGAAGACAGAAAGTTCTATGAGGTAGCAGTTTCTATAGCTCTTGAATGTTGATGTTTGTTTTTATAATTTGGATATTTAATTTTTTATATGTCTTTAATTATTTTGACTTCATGATATAGTCCCTTAAATCACAGATCATAATATATTCTTCGTGTATGATTTATTATTTACACAATGAATAAAACCCATAAAACTATAATTTCATAAAAGTTAATTTTTGAAAACTTGTGTGGATTATTATGATTGGATCAGTATTTCTTCATGTGATTCACAGTACAAAATTTAAAGCTGAAATCTACTTCATATTTGCTATCTTGTTATATATTATCAAGATTGCTTATGTTTTGGAGTGAATAGAAATGAAAAATTGAGTTATATAACAAAGAGACTTGTGGCAGAATAGTCATCAAACATGTTATTGTTATGTGATTTTATGTTATAAAAATTACAGCTGAATTTTAAGAGGAATGGGACAGATATAGGTCATGAAAAATAAAATATAATTGAAAACATAAGACTAATAGTTAAAATAATCTATTGCTTAATTCTGATATCCTCTTAATACACGTTTATACATTTAAATCTATTTTGCTTGTCTTAACAAGATTGCATAATGATACCTCCAACATATTTATTATTTACTTAGCCCTGGTATATTTAATTATTCATTCAATCCTAGAATATACAAATAGTTTCAAAATTATTAGATAACACACTCTGAGTAACAAATGTACTAATTGAACTACATTTGTTTATATTCCTTTCGGCATTAGCCTGAGTTTGGATGGCCAAAATGCTATATTCCAAAATTTCTAAATTAATTCCTTTTCCCTAGTTCTGGGTGGCGTAGTTGTGTTATTTATTTAAAATATGGTAATTTGTTTCTATTTATATTCCATTTAGAGTTTTTTCTTTTGCTTTTATGATTTACATAAGTATGTAAAACATTAATATAACTCCAAAAGATGTATACAAAAATGTATATTCAGAAAATTACTGTGGTTCATTTTTGTTTCCTTTTATTATTGAACAATTTTTATACCACAAAATGTGCCCTCTTAAAAATTTGCAATCCAGCATTTTTAGTACATTTATTATATTTCCTTTCTCACCATTTTAATCTATTTTCTCTATCTGACATTAAATAAACTTAATATATTATTCAAATTTTATTCTACACTCAGTATTGTGTCTTGCACTTTACTGTGATTACCTCATGTTTACATATATAGGCCTCACTTATGGATGAAGTTACTGAGCCTAAGAGAGATTACATAAATTTTTCAATATCATATCACTGTGCTCATGAACCAGATTTAGAAGCCAGGTCATCTGAGGCCATATTCCATGTACATAGTAAGTCCCAAACTGCTTCTCTACTGCTGTAATGCTGCTCCAAATACTGCAGCACCTCACCTAGATTTTTGTCAATGTGCCCAACTAGTATATTTGCTGCTGTCCTGCCTTACCTATGGTCTTTTCATCACAATGCAGCCAAATGATCCACCGAAAACCTCAGGTCAGATCATGTCTTCTCTCTGTTTGAATTCCTACAACATTTCCCCCTTTGAATGGAAATAAAATCCACAGTAGTTAAAGGGGCTAATGTTTCTCCATGATCCTTACCCTCATTTTTATGGATTCATCTTCTAACACTCTACCTTGATAGTTGATATGTCAACCACACTAGCCTCTTTGCTGGATACCAATCAGGTTCTCTCCTTTAACGTTATTACTATTATTTTAATTCTCGCTCTTTCCACATATCCTCATGTTTTTGGCACTCTCTATTCTACATATCTTAGCTTATCATGAGTCATTTCCTGACCACAGTTCACTTTTTCCCTGCCCCAGCATTTTGGATCCCCTTACCCTGTTTGGTTTCCTCTGTAGTGCTTATTGATGACTGGCATAGGTTAAAATTCACGTACGTGATTCTCTCATGTTCACTAAAATCACCACAAGGAATATGGTGGTTTTGTCACTGCTGTATTTCCAGGACCCATAACATATACTTTTCCAACAAAACAAAATATTAGGCTTTAAAGACCCAAAGCTGATGATGGGCTATAAAATGTGGAGTAGAATTAGTTTAGTAATTCTCTACCCTAGAAATACATAGAAAAGAAATAAACTAAATAAGGAAGGAAGGCACTAACATCTGCTATTGAATTGATTCTAATTATACTAATGAAACTTGATATTGCCATTTCCTACCACATGAATAATTATACAATAGCTTATTTGCATGTGAACATATATGGGTGTAAATTAATGCAAATCAGAATCTAATGAAGAGTCACCTGTATGTAAATTATTCAGACCAATTAATTGTATAAAACTGTATAAGAATAATTGCAAAACTCTCCTTAAAATTAATTTCTTGCAGCAAAAAATGGAGGAAGTTCATGTAGCATTTTGTTGCTGGGTGTCTAGCTCTAAATTGCAGACATTCATTGCGTGAACAGCTTTAGCTAAATATGGAATAATAAGGATCTTTTGGAAAACAGAAGCTGCTAAATATTCAAAAGATATTTGTTCACATCTAGTTGAAAGGTAAAGCTGAAAGGAATGATATTTAATAGACTCTGATAAGTATTTAGAATAAAAGCATGTGACAAATTATATTACAACCATGGAAACGCTAACCACTGATAAATTGAACATACAATTCTCCTTATCCCAATTGATGGACAAAGGGAACAGTAAACACATTTCATATTAAATCTACCTTGACTCATTGATTGGAAACCTTTCTAATCTGCTGAAATTTGACCTTTGCTAACACATAGCAACAGATCTAAGCTTGATATATATTTTTTTCTTTTTTCTTTTTCTTTTTTTTTTTGAGACAGAGTCTCGCTCTGTAGCCCAGGCTGGAGTGCAGTGGCGCGATCTCAGCTCACTGAAACCTGTGGTCCCAGGTTCAAGTGATTCTCCTCCCTCAGCCTCCTGAGCAGCTGGGACTACAGGTGCCCGCCACCATGCCCAGCTAATTTTTTGTATTTTTAGTAGAGACGGGGTTTCACCATGTTAGCCAGGATGGTCTTGATCTCCTGATCTCATGATCTGCCCACCTCGGCCTCCCAAAGTGCTGGGATTACAGGCATGAGCCACTGTGCCCGGCCTTGTTCTTCCTTTTTTAAATTTATATTTTCTCAATGGAACATTTCAGAATATATGGAAAAAGTCAAAGGATTGGCAGAAGTAGAATGAGGAAGAAGAAAATATTTAATCCCTACTTTTAAAGCACTTTTAGACTCTGTTTCACGTTAACTTGTGATATCTGCTATGGGGTGTTTTCAAAAGAAAATAGCTTATTAATTTACTCATATGACAAAATGAATGATTTTTTCATTTAGACCAGTAACAGCAAAGGAGATGAAACAGCAAAGGAGATGGAAACTTTAAGACATAATGTGAGTTTGCTGTACCTTTTGGAAATATTTAATTTTGTTATAAAGAATAAGAAAAAATAGGAAAGATAAAATTCATAAGACAAGTTAAACACAGATAATAAATAACCTATTTGTTCATAGACTACTGATACATTAATAGGATACATTAGGTATACATAAAGGATGAGTAAATAACACGAAAGATTTAGATACCCTAAGATAGGCTAAATGTAAAGTAAGTTAGATGTAGGAAACAATAAAGATAGTAACAGTATATAGATAATTTGATGAAATAAACAAGAGTATCACTTTTAGATAGAAATACATGAAAACATTATGATTATGGCATTTCTGGGCTGACAGCTATATTTCTCCTAAATTGGCCACCCATTGATGACGCTCGGTATGGTCCCACTCTGCCCATATGTGCTCAGCCCAAAAAATACAGATAAAACTTGTAGCTGTTCAGCAGGATAATTGGCAAGCTACAGCTATTGGCAAAGCATATTTTAATGTATCATTCTAATATAAGATGTGTGTGTATCATTGGCCTACACATTTTCCATCTGTTGGAGTTCCTGTGATCAAACCTTGACTCTGGTCCTTATAACCAAACCATCTGTGGAGAATGGTACAGTGAGGGTAAAGGGGAGGGAAGAAACAAATAGATAGATAGGAAATAGAGAAATTACATATGAATGTTGCATAACTCAGGATTCAAGTGGTGTGATCCTTCCACAAATGTGTGCCTTATCATAAGTATATTTCCCTCTATAGCATCTTTCTCCTGCTTCTCTTAATCCATTTCAATTTAATTTGTTAAGCTGTGTGTTTCAACCACCTTAAATTGGTTTGTGAGTGATTCAGTTCCAGTGACATCTGAGATATAGTTCACCTGGTATTGTACTTGGAGGTTACCACTTCATTAAGCTAATTCCCCACATGATCAGGCACTGATGCCCTTAAAACCTGGCAAAAGGGTCAAATATATTGGGCCACTTTTTTCTGAAGCTTTACTGGATCTCATTTTCATATATGCCTCTCCCCATGGGCCAAGAAAATGCTCCCACTTAGAGTTCATGCCTCCACTTTGTAGATCAGGCTGTGGGTGCCTGAGAATGAAATTCTGAGTCACAATTGTTCTGAGACCAATATCAGTGTCTGCATGGGCTCTTACTCTAGTTCTGTCCCTGTAGATAGAGGCCAAGATGACTTGTTTACAGTATGGATAAACAAAACTTGACCATGTGGGCAGCTGTGTTCACCTGCATGCTCTCCAGATCCCTGTAGTGCAGAGTCAGGGAGGGAGGCAATTGTGAGAGGGAGGCCAGGACTGGCACTGTCCATGGTGCTATATTTCACCCTGGCAATAAAGGGAGTTCAATATTTTCAAATTCAAACTTGGATTTTCAAGAGTTTATAAAGGTACATTCGACAAAGTAGAAGCATAGATTATACTTTATTTCACAATCTGGTAACTTTTAAGTCTCTAGACATATGGTATGTGGGCTGCCATTTGTACCCAACCTTCTTGCAAGTATTATGGCTGAGTCTGCCTTAAGGCCTTTATTTATCTATATAAAGAAGGAAAATGTAATAATATGCAAAAGTAAAGTGATTTTTGAAGAAATACCAAAACTTTGACTCAAATATTACATAATTTTAAAATAATTTTGCTTCTCTAAAAATTATGTAGCATTTTGATTTTTTGATTTTTGGAAAACATTGCAAACAAAATAGCTAGTGCTTAAGGAAAGGCAGACTGGAACAGATAAATGAGGTAATGGAAACTTTGTGCACTTTAATTGTTAGTAATAAGATTTGGTGGCAAAATCAAATACTTTAGTGAAGGCTAGAGTGGGGTCGATATTGGAGCAGTGCATGTCTAGACTTTGTTATGGATACCATATTTCAGTCAGTTCTTCTGAAATCAAACTATTTTTAAACAGACCAAAAAAATCCAGGGCAAAACTCTCTTATTTATGCACTTAGACTGCTGCTTTTTAAAAAAATTTTATTAGCTACCTGCCTTTTCTTGTCAAATTCTCCTGATAATTTTATTTAATGTATAGAAGAGTAATGATTTTATACATACTTTTGAATATTTAATTATGCAATATATAAAATACTTGCAAACCCACTAATTTTCATGATGTCTCCTAAAAATATTGGCAAATGTGGTGATGTTTATGAGAACTGCCTTGCCTGCTGATCAATCTTTACTAAAAACTTAAGAATTTTATTCATCTATATCTCTAATATAATATATAATTTATCATCAGTGGTAAATAAAAATAAGTTTTAAAACAGAAAAAAAATAATTCAATTAAAAAAAAATCTGAGATACAAAAAGAGAACTTCAGAAATTATGAACCTCCAAAATTTTTCAGAGTAATTTTGCATGATCAAACACAAAAGTCACTTCTGCAAAGGAAAAGTTAAAAAATGTATTACTAAACATTTTTAAAAAGATATTTTATACTTAAAAATTGCTGAAGAACAGAAATAATATAAATAAAAGACAAATTGATTTTTATACTTGATAAAAAATATAAAGTACAAAAATGTGAGAACCTGTATGTCCTACATTAATTTTATTGATTTCCAGAAAAACAAAAACATAAGAATGAGGTGAGAGTAGGAATAAACAAGAAAGAAAATGTTAAAATGATGAAACTGTCAAATAGAGATAATTTTATATCTTTCTTTTCTATTTGAATTCCTTGTATTACTTTTTCTTGTCTGATTTTTCTTGCTGATACTTCTAGTACAATAGAAGTGGGAAGAGTGTGTGTCCTTGCCTTAAACCACATTTTAGAGGAAAAGTTTTCAGTTTCCTTCCATTGATTATGATGTAGTGATGTGTGAGTTTTTAATAAATGACTTTCATTATGATGAGATATTTTTCTTCTACATCTAAAGTGTTGAGCGTTTTTATCAAAAAAGGATGAACTTTGTAGAATACTTTTCAGTGTCAATTTAGATGATCACATTTTTTTTTTGTTCTTCAGTCTGTCAATGTATGCATCATATTGCTTAATTGACATATGTTAAAGCAGCCTTGAATTCCACAGATAAATTCCACTTGATCTTGATGTATAATCATTTTGTTGTGTTTTAAATTTTATTTACTAATATTTTATTAAGAATTTTTGTATCAAGTTTTACTAGAGATACTAGCCCGTAGTTTTCTTTTCTTGTGATATGTTTTTCTGGCTTAGGTAGAAAGCTGAGGCTAGCCTCATAAAATATGTCACAAGGTAATCCCTCCCCGTTTGTTTTTTGAAGAGTTTAAGAAGTATTGACATTTGTCTTTCAAAGTTTGCTAGAATTTAGCCATGAAGCCATCCGGTCTTGGACTTCTCTTTGTTGGAAAGTTTCTTTGTTTTTAGCTTGTTTGTTTTTCCTTTTTACTTTTTTGTGTGGGTACATGGTAAGTGTATATATTTACATATGAGATATTTTGAAACAAACATACAATGTGTAATAATCACATCAAGGTAAACGGGGTATCTATGACCTCAATAATTTAACCTTTGTGTTATAAACAATTCAATTATACCTTTTTAGTTCTTTTGAGGTGTACAATTAAATTGACTACAGTCACCCGTTGTGTGATCAAATGCTAGATCTTATTCATCCTAGTTTTTGTACACATTAAACATTCCCATTTCCCCCAACCTCCACTGCCTTTCCCAGCCTCTGATAACCATCCTTCTGCTCTCTATCTTCATGAGTTCAATTGTTTCAATCTTTGTCTCCCACAAATAAGTGAAACATGTGAAGTTTGCCTTTCTGTGACTGGTTTATTTTACTTAACATAATGACCTCCAGTTTCATTCATGTTGTTGCAAATGACAGAATTTCATTGTTTATACTGGCTGACTAGTACTCCATTAGGTATACATAACAAATGTTTTCTATCCATTTGTCTGTTGATGGACATTCAAATTATTTCCAAATTTTGGCTTTTGTGAATGTTGCTGCAAAAAACATGAGTGCAGATATCTCTTCAATATACTGATTTCCTTTATTTGGGGTATATGCCTAGCAGTAGGATTGCTGGGTCATATGGTAGCTCTGTTCTTAGCTTTTTGGGGAATGGCCAAATTGTTCTCCATAGTGGTTGTGCTAATTTACATTCCCACTAACAGTGTACGAGGGTTTGCTTTTCTTCACATCCTTGCCAGCACTTGTTATTGCCTGTCTTTTGGATAAAAGCCATTTTAACTAGGCTGAGATAATACTGAATTGTAGTTTTGATTTGCATTTCTCTGATGAGCAATGATGTTGAGCACCTTTTCATATGCCTGTTTGCCATTTGTATGTCTTGTTTTGAGGTATGTCTTGTTTTGAGAAATGTCTGTTCAGCTGTTTGCCCATTTATAAATAAGATTAGTAGATTCTTTCCTATATAGTTGTTTGAGCTCTTTAAATATTCTGGTTATTGATCTCTGGTTAGATAGGCAGTTTGCAAATATTTCTCCCATTCTGTGGGTTGTCTCTTCACTTTGTTAATTGTTGCCTTTGCTGTGCAGAAGCTTTTCACCTTGATATGATTCCATTTGTTTATTTTTGCTTTGGTTGCTTGTTCTTATAGGGTATCACTCAAGGGAGAGATAGAGGTAGAAAGTTTATTCAAAGGAATGATAACAAATAACTTTCTAAACTTAGAGAAAAATATCAGTATTCAAGTACAAGGTTATAGAACACCAAGCAGATCTAACTCAAATGAGACTACCTCGAGACATTTAAAAATAATTAACATACAATAAAGCTCCAATATTTCTGGCCACAGGCTTTTCAGTGGAAATCGTACAGGGTAGGAGAGACTGGCATGACATATTTAAAGTGCTTAAATTATTTTTTTTACCCTGGAATAGTATGTCCGGTGAAAAGATCCTTCAAACATGAAAGAGAAATAAAAACCTTCCCAGACAAACAAAAGCTGAGGGAGTTCATCAGCGTCAGACCTCTCCTACAAGAAAAGCTAAAGGGAGTTTTTCAAGCAGAAAGAAAAGGATGTTAATGAGTAATTGTAAATACACAGATAAACACAAAATATTATAATACTGTTAGTCACATGTAAACTACTGACTTTTATTTATTTATTTATTTTTAATATATGGATCGAGGCAGGAGTGCAGTGGCTCAATCTCTGCTCACTACAACTTCCGCCTCCCAGGTTCAAGCAATTCTCCTGCCTCAGCCTCCTGAGTAGCTGGGACTACAGGCAGCCACCACTATGCTCAGCTAATTTTTTTTTTTTTTTTTTTTTTTTTTTGTATTTTAGTAGAGACTACTATGTTGCCCAGGCTGTTCTCGACCTCCTGAGCTCAGGCAATCTGCACGCCTCAGCCTCTCAAAGTGCTAGGATTACAGGGATAAGCCACTGCACCCAGCCAACTACTCACATCTTAAGTAGAAAGACAAAAAGACGAACTGATAAAAAATAATAGCTACAAAACTTTTCAAAAAATAGTACAATAAGATACAATAGAAACAACAAAAAGTTAAAAAGCAGGCCAGGCGCGGTGGCTCATGCCTGTAATCCCAGCATTTTGGGAGACTGAGGCAGGCTGATCACCTGAGGTCAGGAGTTCATGACCAGCCTGCGCAATATAGAGAAATCCCATCTCTACTAAAAATACAAAAAATAGCTGTCATTTTGTTCTTTGTTTTGTTGTTGTTTCATGGTTTTGTCTTCTTCATTCCTTGCTGTGGGGCTCTGACCCGCCCCTAACCTCCGGCAGTGTCTAGGGGTGAGTGTTTACAGCTGAAGCCCCAGTGGGCATGTATTACAGGGTGTTTTTTTAGTTTGCTGTCTATAGGCAGTTTGTGTTAACCAGCTCAGTAGCTCAATTAGACCCCTTTCCTTTTCAGAAGGAGAGATTTCTGTATCCTGGGGTTTCTTGTCTTGGTGTACCAGAAGAATTGGATCACACATGGGCTTGGAGAATGAGTGCAAGGTTTTATTGAGTGGAAGTAGCTCTCAGCCGATGGGGGAGCCAGAAGGGAGATGGTTTTCCTCTGGAGTTGGGCTGCTCAGCGGCCCGACTCTTTTTCGACCACTCCAGACAAACTCCGCATCCTTCTGCAATTGATGGACTGCTAGACTGCCTGTGCCTTTCGACATGCTCTTCCAGCAGTGTGTTCTTGATGACCAGCTCCTTGTGTCTTCTTGTGCCGATGTGTTTCTCATGATGTCCAGCAGATAGTGTGTGTACCCGCTAGGGTCTCAGGTTTTTATAGGCCCAGGATGGGGACATGGCAGACCAGGGTGGTCTTGGAAAATGCAACATTTGGGCTCGGAAGCAGGAGTGTCTGTCCTCACCTAGGTCTGTGGGGGTGGGGCCCTAGCCAGGGACCATGCCCTCCATGCACTTCCCTTCCCCCTTTTCCATATCACTTAAAGGGACCATTGTCTTCCCTTCCCAGCACTCCCGTATCATTTCCCCCCTCTGAAGAGGTACATCAAACTGACATTAGAATATGCAGAATGACCAGTCTTAGCTGCTTCCTGCTGACAAGGGCATTGTTTTGGGGAAAATAGCAGCCAGATTCCTTCCAGAGTCTGTCTAAGGGTTCCTAGCAAAGGAGAACCATTGTCCAATGGTCTGGTTGCCTGATCATGTGGAGTTCGACGGCTTCTAGGTGCGAGAGAAAAAAGCAAGTTTTATAAGGTTAAGTATGCATGGGTTAAACATATGTATTATACAAGGAAATAATTTAATGCCAAAGATTACATTGACAAGAAGTACAATATACTAACAACAGCATTGTACCCTTAGCTGTTTCACCCTGGTGAAAGAAATTAAACTTTGTATGGGAGCGGTTAAACTTTAGAAGAGAGATAACTATTCTTGCCCTATCTTTTAGCAGTTAATAGGCGCACCATGGGAATTCCTGGATTTGTGGGCTTGCCTGGTGGCCATTAAAACTTCCATCTCTTTCCTGTGTTTGCTGTCTTTCCTGGGCCTCCCTGTCTCTATTATAAAAGATTGACATAGCCACTTTCAGGAGGTCCTCTAATGTACTATTTGGTCCCAGGGCCCATCTTTGTAACTTCCTCCTGATATCAGGGGGTGCCTGAGTAATAAATGTATCCTCTAGGATTAGTTGTCCCTCGACTGAATCAGGAGATAGAGAGGTGCTTTAACAAGGCCCCTCTTAGTCTTTCCAGGAAGGCAGTGGGATTTTCATCAACTTCCTGGTCAATCATGGGCAGCTTAGTATAATTGAGATGCTTGGTCCTAGTTCTATGTAGGCCTTCCATTATGCGTGCCTGAAAGTGACTCCTCTTCTAATCTTCCACCTCATCATTGGGATCCCATTTAGGGTCATTCACTGGTACTGCTTCTCTTCCAGTTGGGTAATATTTGCACCCTTCCCTGACACTGTATGTGATGCAACGGTCATCCCCAATTCTCTGCTGCTTGTGGAGCAGCCTGTTTCTCAGTGTCCATCAAGGTCTGACTCAAAAGTAACATAATGTCTCTCCAGGAGAGTTCAAATATTTGGGTCAAATTATTGAAAGCCTCTCTATATATATCAGGGTCATCTGAAAACTTTCGAAGATCTCCCTTAATTTGCTGTAAGTACTGTAGGGAGAAGGGGACCTGGACCTTACTGGGCCAAAATTCACTGGGCATCTGCTGGAGGGGCAGGAGTGAGACTGGGGCTTGTTTAGAGCAAGGATTTCTAGGAGGGGGCAAGTGAGAGGCTCAAGCTGGATAGGGAGGTCTGGGTGTACCTGGAGGAGCAGGGCTGGAGGGAGCTGGCTCCTCTCCTGGGGGTGCCTTTGGGACTCTTATCTTTACTTCCCTGTGCTTGCCCCTTGCAGCCTTCCCTGAGACAGCAACAGGAGGGCTGAATCAATCCTACATTGTCAGTAAAGGTCTGTATTGCCTTGCAAGGTATAGAAAGCCTGTACATACGCCGCCTCAGACCATCTGTCCTCAGGTCTACAGAAAACTTCCAACTGCCAGATTGTATCAAAACGGTTGATACAATCTGGTATCAGATTGGTTCCTTCCTGAGGCCAAGCTAGTCCTTCCTGTAAATTATAATTTGGCCAAACCTTGGTGCAGTGGGCTATGAAGCACTTTTCTTCCAGATTCTGAGTGTCAAAGAAGTCCCAGTGGTTCAGGATACACTCCAGAGGAGTATAAGCTGGCAGTGGTGAGGAGAACTGGTTGCCCATTCTGAAAGACAGGGAATAAAGGCGTCCCTCATTCCCTTCCTTCATTCATTCAGCAAAAACTCACGGTGTGATGGAGAGAGAAAGTGAACGTCCGCATTTCACTCTCCACCCCTTATGACTGAGCCCTGGTGACCTTGGCAGGTGTCAGTCATAGGTACAAATATGGTATGTACCCATGAAGCAGGGAAAACCTGGAAGGTAGGAATTAACCGCCCTCACCTACACCTCCGTTTCTCCCTGCTGTTAGCAAACTTTGAGTTCCCTGGGCCTGTTTATGCCATGAGGCGTGGCCTCCTTCCGTGTAGTGGGGCGTTCAGTTAGCGAGAATTGGTCCAGCCCATTTACATTGTACCTGTTGCCTGGCTTTGGATCCCTCAGACTTGTTTTTGTTGTGTTTTGTTTTGTTTTGTTTTTCTAGGGCCCCAGCCTGAAGCTTGGAATCAAGTTTGGGACTGAAAAGGTATTTTCAAGACTGTTTGTATCCGTAGAGAGTATCTCAAATGCACCCTGCTGAATTTGCAGTTCTCAGCCAACAGGGGCCATTCCTCTGTTAACTTCCCTATCAGAAACAGAGCAGCGGGGAGGCCTCTCACAGAGCAAAGGAAAAAGGAGAAAACACTTTAAGGGGCCCCCTAATCCTTACATCTTTCCCCAGTTCAGACCGGGTTGAATTCCTTGACCAGAGGAGGAAAGGTTCCACTGTACTGGCAGGCAAGAAGTGCTCATCTGTTGGCCCTGTGGGGTCGTGACTACCACCACAGCTTTCTCCCACCTCCTCCTCATGGCTGTTGGGCTCGGCCTTTGTCCTGAGGGCCCACCCAGGCACCCAAGCTAGGAGGGGAAGGGGTAGCAGGAGATGTCCTGAGCCCTGCATGCCTGCGGCTGTCAAGATGGAGGCATACATGGCAGCTCTATGAACAACTGGTCTGATTTGCACCTTTGGTGGCTGAGCCTAATGCTCTCTTTGCTTAGTAACATTGCCGCAGCCTGTAGCAAAACTTAACATTATAAAGAAAGAGATAAGAGCCATTTTAAACCATGTGACAGAGAAAAAGAGACAAAGTCTAGGGGTTTTGACTGGCAGGTTAGGGTGGTTGAAAACTCTGTGAAGGGAAACAGAGCCTCTTGCTCTCAGAAAAGAGAGAGAGATGGCAGGGTTTTGGAAGAGAGGCAGACCCAACAGTTTCAAATTCACTCACGCTCATCTTCTGCAATCCCAGATGAGCCCCCAGTTGAAACAGGACAGATTCCCTTGTCCCCCTCGCAGGAGTGTGGCTGGCTTCTTCAGTGCTCTGCTGCTCACACCTCTAAGGGAGCACACAGATGGGCAGGCTGTGGGGCTAGGACCCATGGCAGTGTCTAGGGGTGTTTCAGCTGAAGCCCCAGTGGGCATGTGTTACGGGGTCCATAGGCAGCTTGTGTCAACCAACTCAATTATACCTGCCTCCTTATCACAGGGATAGGATCCTAAATCAAAGGATGTATCCTGGAGTCTCTTGCCTTGGTGTACTGGGAGAATCGGATCACACGTGGGCTTGGAGAATCAGTGCAAGGTTTTCTTGAGTAGGAGTAGGTGTCAGCAGATGGGGGAGCCAGAAGGGAGATGGTTTTCCCCTGGAGTTGAGCCTCTCAGTTAAACTCTGCGTTGTTTTGCCAGTTGATGGCCTGCCAGCCTGCCGGTGCTTATCAGCCTTGCTCTTCCACTGGTGTGTTGATGACCAGCTCCTTGTGTCTTCTTCTGCCAATGTATTCCTCATGATGTCCAGCTGCTTCTGTATGTCTGCCTGCTAGAGTCTCGGGTTTTTATAGGCCCAGGTTGGGAGCATGGCGAGCCAAGGTGGTCTTGGAAAATGCAACATTTGGGTGTGAAGGCAGGAGTGACTGTCTTCACCCAGGGCTGCAGGGGTGGAGCCCTAGCAAGAGACCACGCCGTCCTCTCCCCAGCACTTATCTTCTCCCCTTCTGTATCATTTAAAGGGACCAAGCTCTTCCCTTTCCAGCACTCCCATATCAGTGGTATGTTTTAGTCTCTTCTTTTTTATTTTTTGTGTGTGTTCATTGTATGTTTTTAGACTTGAGGTTACCATGAGGCATGCAAATATTTAATACTATCTTATAATTCATTATTTTAAACTGATGACAACTTCCCAATGATTGCATAAACAAACAAACTCAGAAACAAGTAAAAGAAAACTAATAAAAACTCATTTTAATGTCATGCCTCTGCCTTGTAACTTTTTGTTGTTTCTGACGTTGATGAACACCATCAGCTTTTGTTTGTCTGGAAAAGATTTTATTTATCTTTCATGTTTGAAGGATCTTTTCACTGAATATATTATTCTAAGTCTTTTTTTTTTTCCAACAGCACTTTAAGTATATTATGTCAGTCTCTCCTGGCTGTAAGGTTTCCACTGAAAATTTTTTAGCCAGACAGTGTAGCTTCATTGTATGTTATTTGTTTCTTTTCTCTTGCTGCTTGTAGAATCATTTATTTATCCTTGACTTTTGGAAGTTTATAAAATTTTTTGAGGTAGTCTTATTTGAGTTAAACTAAATTTTATAGACATGCTTTATTCTTACATATTTTGTCTTTGTGACTATGTATTTTCAAATAACCTGTCTTCAAGCTCCCAAATTCTTTCCTCTGTTTGATCAATTCTGCTATTAAGAGACTCTCAGGCACTCTCCAGCATGTCAATTGCACTTTTCATCTTTAGAATTTATTTTGAATTATTTAAATCTCTTTATTAAATTTATCTGATAGAACTCTGAATTCTCTCTCTTTGTTATCTTAAATTTCTTTGAGTTTCCTCAAGTCAGCTATTTTGAATTATCTGTTAGAAAGTTCATATAACTCTGTCTCTCTGTGATTGGTCCTTGGTGCCTTTAGTTCATTTGGTAAGGTCAAGTTTTCCTGGATGACCTTGATCCTTGTGGATGTTCTCAGTGTTTGGGCATTGAAGCACGAGGTATTTATTGGAATCTTCACAGTCTAGGCTTGTTTGTACCTATCTTCTTAGGAAGGCTTTCCAAGTATTCAAAGAGACTTGGGTGTTGTGATATAAATTTGTGGTCGTTGCAGCTTTATCTGCATTAGTGGACACCCCAAGCCCAATGATGCTGTGGTTCTTGGAGACTCATAGAGCTACCATTTTGATTGTCTTGGATAAACTCTGCAAGAATTCTATGGATTAACAGGCAGAAACTTGTCCTTTTCCCTTACTATCTCTCAAACATACAGTTTCTCTCTGTGCTGAGCTGCCTGCAGCTGGCTGCGATGTGGCAAAAGCACCCCTGTGGCCACCACCACCGAGATCGTGCTTGGTCAGATCCGAAGCCAATACAACACTGGGTCTCACCCTAGACCCATTGTAAACCACTACTGTGCTACCACCTATGTTTACTCAAGGACCTTTGGCTCTATAATCAACCAGTGGCAAAACCAACCAGACTTGTGTCCTGCCTTTACTGTGACAAGTGCCCCTGGCCCCTGAGTGAGTCCAGAGATGCTGTCTGGGAGCCAGAGCCTAGAGTCAGAAAACTTAAGATCTATCTGGTGCTCTATTCTACTGCAGCTGAGCTGGCACCCAAACCGTAAGACAAAGTCCTTCCCACTCTTCCCTCCTCTTACCCCAGGCAGACGAGTCTCTCCCCACTTCCACAGGCCCACAGATAATACTGTCAGGCTATAATTGATGTTCACCTAAGGCCTGAGGGCTCTTCAGTCAGATTCTGGTGAATGCTGCCAGGCCTGGGACTCACCCTGCAGGGCAGTGGACTCCCCTCTGGCTCCAGTAAGGTCCAGACATGTTGTCCAAGGGCCAAGGCCTGGAAATGGGGACCCCAAGAGCCTTCTTGGTGCTCTACCCCACTGTGGCCAAGGTGGTAGCTAAGCTGTAATTCAAAGTCCCCTTCACTTCCTCTACTTTTTTCAAGCAGAAGGAGTCTCTCCTTATAGCCATCCATTGTGAATGTGCTAAGTCACACTTGAAGCCAGCATATCTCAGAGTCTCACTCAAGGCCCATGGGGTTTACTACCTGGTTACCACTGCTGATTATTGAGGGTCAAAAGGCCCTTTAGTCAGCAAGTGATGATCCCTACCAGGGGTGGGTCCTTTCCTTCTAGGCAGCAGGTTGCCTTCTGGCCTAGGATGTGTCAGAAGTATCATCCAGAAGCTAGAGCCTGGAATGGGGGCCTCAAAATTATCACTCATGCTCTGTCTTACTGAGTGTCTGAGCTGGTATCTAAGTTGCAAGACAAAGTCCTTTTTGCTCTTCCCTCTCTTCTTATTAAGCAGAAGGAAGGAGTCTCTTTTGGAGCTGCAAGCTGTGCTGCCTACGGTTAGAGGAGGGGTAGAACAAACACTCCCTTAGCTGCCCTGGCTGCTGTTTCACTCAATTGCATATTCCCAAAGTCCACTAGCTCTGAGCCCAGCATAGCATTAGGACTTGCCAAAAAGTTGCAGTTCTTGTGTCCTAGACTGTTTTTTAAGTTTATTTAGGACCCCAGAGCACTTTAGCTCACAGTACTGAGGCTTGCGGAAACTCAAATTCTGACCACTGGGATGGGCGATTCCCCTCTGGCTACGGTCACATAAATGCTCATTTTGTGAGCCTTAGCTGAGTTCTGCCCAGTGTTTTCAGCACTAAGTTCAATGCAAAGTCTCACAACTGCTGCAGTCTTTCTCCCCCAATACACAGACTCTCCATGTCATTCAGAAGGTTCAAGGGAGAGAAGTGACATAGGCAATTGAAGTCTGTTTTTTTTCTACCCTATTTAGTGCTTTTTTCAGCAATATAAAGTTACAACCAGATACTGTTGTCATCTACCTGATTTTTGGTTTTTATAAAGTGCTTTTGATGTGTAAATAGTTGTTAAGTTTGGTGTTCCTGTGGGGAAGGATGGTCTGTGGAGGCTTCTATTTAGCCATCTTGCTCTGCCTTCTCCTGGAAGGTTTCCAATTATTACTTCAATATCTCTGTTAGGTTTTGGTCTGTTCAGACTTTTTATTTCTTTTTTATTCAACCTTGGTAGCTTGTAGTAGTCTAGGAATTTATCCATTCCCTCTAAGTTAATCCAATTATTGGCATATAATTGTTTATAATAGTCCATTACAATCCCCTGTTTTAATTACTGAAGCATCTGTTGTAATGTCTCCATTCTCATTTTTGATTTTATATATTTAGGTCTTCTCTCTTTTTTTCTTAGTCTAGCTGAGGGTTTGTAAATTCTTTGTAATTTCTTTATTCTTTTAAAAAAACTACCTTAGTTCCATTGATTTTCTTTCTGTGTTTTCTATTCTCTATTTGATTTATTTCTGCTCTGGTTTTTATTCTTCTTTTCCTGCTAAATTTAGATTGAGTTTTTTTTTAACTCCTTGAAGTGTAATGTCAGGCTATTTGTTTGAGATCTTTCTTCTTTTTAAAGAAAAGGTACTGAAAGTTTCTTATGTTCAGATAAAGAAATACTATCAAAATGTCAAAAAATGCAAAGTATTTATGGCACCTATAATAATCAATACTGGAGAAAACTCAAATTTTAAAAAGAAAAAAACAATATTCTAAAATGTTCACAGAAAACAAAACAAAACAAATACACAAACTAGGTAAATACTTTTTAAAAAAGTATATTGAACCTACAACTCTATACCCAACTAAACCATGGATTAATTCTAAGTAAATAACGAAATAAGTTTCAAAATGTGCAAGGACTCAGGACTTCCATGTAATACACGTGGAAGTTATATTTGTATATTTTTTGAGTATCACCAACCTATCACAAGTAAAGAGGTCTCTGATTAAAAAAAAAAAGGCAATGACGAACGCTGTAAATAATAACAGCTCTATAACAAATCTAGAAACATTTGACCCTATTAACGTTACTGTGTCTAAGGTTAGTTCCATTTGTAAAGTTTTCACATGGTAATGTAGCATGAATTTGTGATACATAGAAATTTAAACTTGTACTGGCTACAAGAAGCATGTAAGTTAATTTGGATCTTCAGGAGGGATGAGGAAAACAAAAGCCTCCACAATGAAGACATTTTCCCAATATGAAAAAAGACAAAGGACACATTGCGTTTTGTACCATAAAAAAAATGGTATTTTATGGTATATGATTATATATAAAATATATAGGTATTCCCTAGAACTCCCTAGAATTTATATATATGTTTTAGGACATATAATATATGTATATGTATACACACACACACACACACACACACACATATATACACACTCATATATTCTAGGGCACATAAGTATACATTTCCCTAGAATGTAGTGATATGGTAAACTTGCCTATTTATAAGAAGGAAAAAGGTAATTATACACACACACACACACACACACACACACACACACACAGAGCCCTGCATTGCTCAATGTTGGGAATACATTCTGAGAAATGCATCACTAAGCGATTTTGTTATTCAAATGTGTACTATTCTATATTTTTAGTTTTTAACTTTTTAAACCTTTTTCTTAAAAACTTCAGACATGAGCACACATGTTAACTTAGTCCTACACGGTGTCAGGATCATCAATATCACTGTCTTCCCCCTCCACATCTTACCCTACTGGGAGATATTCAAGAGCCATAACACACATGAGGGTGACATCTCCTATGGTAACAATACCTACTTCTGAAATACAGTTTGAAACACCTGCCCAGGGAAGTTTTACAGTAATTTTTTTACATATAAAGAGGAATACATTCTGAAATAACAATGAAATATATACCATAAAAAGTACATAAACCAGTAATATAGTCATTTATTAACATTACCAAGTATTATGTACTGTACATCATTTTAAGTGCTCTACTTTTATGTGACTGGCATTGCAGGATAACATATTGTGAAGATGTTACCATTCTTCAAAGTATATTCTTCAGTTTATAAATGCCTTTAGCTGCAAGATCCCTGGGTGACCACTGGTCTGATTTCTCTCACTTTAGTAGAAATGGACTTATCTTTATTTAGTTTCAATATTTAATAAGAATTGAATTTAAAGCTATGCACTAGTGTTGCCAGTCTCTTTTCACTCAGTGCAATTATTTTGAAACTTATTTATGTTGTTAAATGTAACAACATTTTTTTTCTTTTGGGTAATGAGTAGTACTCCATGGCAGTACAGAATCACCTATGGATGAATGCTTCAGTTGTTTCCAGTTTATGGCTATAAAAATATAGCTCCATGAACATTTATGTTTATGTCTTTGTGTAGCAATGTGTTTTGACTATTCTATTACACAACTAGTACTGCAATGAATGGGTTACATGGCAGGTATATTTTTAACCTTTCAAGAAACTGCCAGATTTTATACAAAACGTTTGTGCCTATTTAAATTTCCAGCAGCAGTGCATAAGAGTCCTAGTTAACTCACTTCCTTACTGACACTAGGTACGTTCAATCTTTGAGTTACCCACAGTAATATTCTATTGTTAATTTTCATTTCTCTGATACTAACATTGAGCATATATCTCTTTGGTTGAGCTATTTAAATCATTTGCTTTAATTTTAATTGTGTAGTTTTTCTCCATAGTTGTGTGCTGTAAGTGTTCTTTATATATTTTCCGTGCAATTTCTTGGCC
Source organism: Homo sapiens (assembly GCF_000001405.40). Classification (NCBI taxonomy): domain Eukaryota; kingdom Metazoa; phylum Chordata; class Mammalia; order Primates; family Hominidae; genus Homo; species Homo sapiens. Next base: position 86,179,021 of record NC_000013.11, on the reverse strand, counting down.
AGGTAGCCACTTTAAAATTTTGTCTATAAACTCATGATGCCCCTTTTCATTTTCTTAGCAATGAATATTGAATATCAAACATTTTCATATTTTATAAAGTCCAAGGCTTTTTTTCTTAAATTGTTTATGTCTATCATTCTTTTAGGATACCATTGCCTAACACAGGGTAGCCAAGATTTTGTCTTATAATCTTATTTCCTAGAAGTTTAATAGTTGCCTTTCTTTCATCTAGGTCAGAGGTTCTCAATCTCAGCACAATTGATATTTTGCTGGATAGTTCTTTGTAATGGAAATCTTTCCTATTCATTGTTTGTTTCATAGCTCTAACTTTAACCACTAAATGCTAGTAGCAACCACTCTGATATAGTTTGGATGTGTGTCCCCATCTAAATATCATGTTGGAATGTAATCCTCACTGTTGGAGGTGGGGCCTGGTGGGAGGTGATTGGATCATGGGGGCAGATTTCTCATGAAGGGTTTAATACAATCTCTTTGGTGCTGTCCTTGCCTTAGTGAGTTGCCTTAGTGAGTCGTCCTGAGATCTGGTCCTTTAAAAGTATGTGGTACCTCTTGCTCCTGCTCTGGCCATGTGACGTGCCTGCTCCCATTTACCTTCCACAGTGATTGTAAGTTTTTTTCGGCCTCCCCAGGAGCTGAGCAGGTGCCAGCATCATGCTTCCTGTGCAGCCTGTAGAACCATGAGCCAATTAAACCTCTTTAGAAATTACTCAGTCTCAGATATTTGTTTATGACAATGCAAAAATGGACTAATACACCCTCCCAATTTTGACAACCAAAATATGTTTCCAGACATGGTCAAATGTCCCCTGGGAATAGGGAGAGGAGTGGAAAAATCTACCTCAAGTGAGAATAGTAACTAGGGATGAAATCCTCTGATTCATTGTATGCTGATTTTAATGTGTGGAGTGAAGAGGCAAAGGTACTTGTTTTCGCACATGGTTATGCCATTGGCCCAATACCATTTCTTGAAAAGAGTATCCTTTTTCCATTGAATTACCTTGTAATCTTCATTTAATAATAGTTAATTATATATGGAGCCTATTTATGAAATCTATTTTGTGTTGGTGCTTACAGCAACTTTATAATAAGCCTTAATATCAGATAATAAAATCAATGGAATATTTTTTCTTTATTGTCAAGCTTGTGTTGGCTATTTTAGGTGATAGAAATTTCTATATTCATTTTGCAATCACCTTGAAAAGTTTTATAGAACAGCCTGCTGAGAATTTGATTCCAAGTGCTTTTCAATTGGGGGAATTAATATTTTACCAATTTTTAGTCTTCCCACTAAATGCACATAATTTATATCTTATTTATTCAGGTCTTCTTTAATTTTTCTCACTGATATTTTTAGTTTTCAAAGTACAATTCTTGAGCATATTTCATTGTTTATTTCATATATTCTACTGTTACTTTCACTGTTTTCTAAATTTTAATTTATGATAGTTTTTGTGGCAAGAACAAAGAAATCCAGTGGCCCTCCATATCCACAGCTTCCACATATGCAGCTACAACCAACCACAGATAAAAAATACATTCAAAAAATCCAATAAAAGTAACAGCAGTGAAAATAATACAAATAAAATATTTTAAAATGTATAATAACTATTTCCATAGCATTTACATTTTTTAGGTGGTATAAGTAATCTAGAGATAATTTAAAGTATATAGGAAGAGAAGTGTAGGTTATATGCAAATATTACACCATTTTAGGTGAGGGACTTAAGCATTCATAAATTTTGGTGTCTGTGGGGGATCCTGAAAAAAATTCTTCACAGATACTGAAGGAAGACGGTATGAGAATTTATTTACCTTTTATTCTCTAATCTTGCCAACCTTATATATTTGGCTGAATTTTTATTTATATTTACACCTATATTTTTCTATATAGATGATGATGCAATTTGCAAATAATGTATCTTTTACTTTTCTGGTTCTAACTTGAATATCTTTTTATTTAACTTTTGTCATATCATATGGTTGTAGGACCTCAAGTACAGTATTGAAAAGCCATGTTTACAATGCTTGTTCTCTAAGCTAGGGAAAAACATTCAATTTTTCACAAGTAACTATATTATATAACTATATAAATAAGTTATTATGTGAAGGAACTTCATAGAATCTCTTTATTGGGGTGAGAAAGTTCTTTTCTGTTCTTTTCTTGCTGAGAATTTTTATCAGAAGTGAATGTTGAAGTTTTGCAATGTTTTCCCTACATTAGATATATGTCATTGTAATTGTTATTCTTAGTTTATATGATAAGATTCATTAAATTTCTTTCTTAAGCTAAAATTTATATAAAATAAAAATAATTGTTTTAAAGCTAATTCAGTGTTGGTTAATTTTGAATATTAAGCTAACTTTGCATTAGTGGGATAAAGCACACTTTTTAAAATGTATTATTGCTTAATATAATGTAAGACTTAATGTGCTAAAATGTTGCTTTGCAAGAATAGTAAAGAGAGGTATTTGTCTATATTTTTTCTTTTTTTTTAAATTTGTTTTCCAACGACCTGCAGCCCATTGATATTTTATTTTCTTGTGTCATGTCATTGTTAAGTTTTACTATCAGTAACATCTGTCCTCAGGAAATGCATTGAAAAGAATTTAATTCTATTTTCTGGAATAATATTTATAGACTTTATTTATTTATTTATTTATTTATTGAGATAGAGTCTCGCTCTGTCACCCAGGCTGGAGTGCAGTGGTGCGATCTCTGCTCACTGCAGCCTCCGCCTTCTGGGTTCAAGTGATTCTCCTGCCTCAGCCTCCTGAGTAGCTGGGACTACAGATGTGCACCACGACACCCTGCTAATTTTTATACTTTTAGTAGAGATGGGTTTTCACCATCTTGGCCAGGATGGTCTCGATCTCCTGACCTCATAAGCCACCCACCTTGGCCTCCCAAAGTGCTGGGATTACAGGTGTGAGCCACCGCACCCAGCCTAGACTTGATTTTTTAATCCAGAGTGTTTTATAAAATTTATTATTGAAACCATCTGTGCCTGTAGTTTTCTTCTTGAAAGGTTTTTAATTACAAGTCAATCTTTTGGTGAGATATAAGGCTATTTAGATTGCTTAATTTTCCACTTCTTAGTAATTTATACCTTTTTAGTAATTTATTACATTTAAATTCATTGAATTTATTTACTCATGTATTTCTTTATTTGGACATTATTATATCATAAACATTATTATTTATGTTGCCCAGGTTGGCTTGAACTCTTGGGCTCAAGCAATACTCCCATCTCAGCATTCCAAATGGCTGAAATTACAGGCATGTGCCACTACACTTGGCTTTATTTTATTGAATTCGAATTCATTGATATAAAGTTTCATGATGTTTTCTTATAATTCAGTAATGTCTATAGTATTAGTAGTAATGTCATATTTCTCATTTTTGACATTGGCTATGTCTTACTATAATCTTGCTCCTATAACAAAATGCCTTAATTCATTGGCCTGTCATTTTACCGCACCTGTTCTTTCAAGACATTGGGCACATATGAAACCACTACAAGCCCCACAGCTTGGCTAACCCTATAATTTGTCTTCCAAATTGAGACACTTGCAAGAGTTAAAGTGGGCACAATTAGAAATTGTTTTGTAATATGATATTGAAATAGAGAACATCCTAGTTAATGTAGTAAATTAGGGTCATTCCACCAAAAGCCTTTCTAACTCCAGAAGAGGCAGAATCAAAGCCCATTTCAGTGATATCCAAAGAGAACCTGAAATCCATGACCTATAGGATCCATTATTTTGCCCTAAGTAAAATTCTTGACGTGTTATTTGGCACTACATCCCTAGACACTGGTGCTGCCTCTTTTTCATTTGGCTGTGGCATTTACAAAAAAGCACTGTAAGGACAGGTAGTATTCATGGAATGAAGTTGTTATTCATTTTCTCTCCCACTTTCCTCTTTTTTCAATTGGTTTTATATTTTCCACTTCAAATTTCCTTTGTATTGTAGTGAAGTGAAAAATGTACAGCCCTTGACACTTTAATCATTATCAAAATATGCAGAAGGATTAAGTGCCTTATTCTATGTTATCCTCCAATTCACTGTTTATTCGATGATCCTCAGCAGCCCAGTAAGGAGCTCCATAGTCTGCCTAGAGAATTATCTTCTTGATTCATTTTGATTTAAGAAAAGTGACTTCTTGGTGTTTGCTGCCTCACTCAGGAGCAAAACAGCATCTCTCACCACTGGTTATCCTATGGTCAGTTTCATGAATGGCAAGATGTTCACACATTAAGAGGTTTGTATTCTCCTTCTTGTAGAATCTTCCACCACATTTTAGCCTCTGGGTGTTTGTACATTTTAGCATTTCCTCGTGCTATGTTAGTTGCCTATCAATAACATTTTCTGTGGCTTTCCCCTTGATGTAGCTGCAAGAAGCTTTCTTAATCTTCACACCTATTTCTTATTGCTAATTTGAGTTAGCCATATATATCTGTTAATGTACACACCATGTCATACACCAGTATGTCCTGAAATGAGAATCAGAGTGTGTAACTTTGTGGTGATTTCTCTCTCAACTGGAGATTATTATGAATGTCAGATTACTTAAAAACCTGCTAACGTGATGTGAATGGACATTAATCTTTATTAAAGCAATATTTTTATAATAATTTCTCAAATTATTGAGTCATTGAGTGTTATGCATGCCAAGATATTTTTTCCCATATAGGTAAAATAGATTTTAGATTGTATCTTAACCAACATTTATCTCTTCCAGTATAAAACAATTCCTATGTTACAGATTAGATTCACACTATGCAATTTTATAAAATTGTAGGGTTTTTTCACTTTTATATTATTATATGTCTTGTTCCAAATTGTCTTCCATTAGCAATGTAACAGATTTTAAGGAATCTTGATTTTATTTTAAATAACATCATCACTACATGACAGCTAGACAAAGATACACAAAAATACCTGGAATCACTTTTTAAAAAATTTTACAGTGTATACATGTCTTTTATAAGGTAGTTATTGAATGCATACTATGTGTTTAACAGTGTGCTGTGCTTTATCTGGCATATATACTTGAAAATAGTCAATATTTATAACTGTGATAAGTAGATAACTAATCTTCACTCTTATAGTTTTATTCTTTCATAATTATGAATGCAATCTGCTATGTCATATTTATGTTACTTCTGACTGCTAATGTTTAAACTGTGCTAAAGCTAGTTTCTATTTTTGTTTGACATAAATATATAAAGTAAAAAGTCTGTCCAATGATTTTGATAAATGATAATGGTTCCACGGATATGCAGATGTCCTAGTATCCTTCAATTTTGTGGTGTATTGCACATGTAGCTGTAAGGGTTAGAGTTAGAGTTAGGGTAGATTGTGTATGTATATGTGAATAATGAAAACAAATGAAGGACAACTATTTTAATGGTGTATCAGTCCTTGCTTATATTAATATCAGCAAGGATTGTGCAAGGGGGGTGATAAGAACTCCCATGTGGAATTATTTAAGAACAGATATCACTGCTAAAAAAAATCTTGATTTGTTTTTTCTTCACTGTCTTTTACAACATTTTTTCCTGGTCCAGCATACCTGCTGGAGCTTAACAGGCAGAATTATAAACCATTCTGCCTTTGTATATACTCATTTAGCATCCCGCCATTTTCATAGATTTTCAAATTACTTAAACACAAAGCCTACATGCTTTTCAAGAATAGATCTATAATATATATGAGATAATGGACATATTTAAAATGCAATCTCAAATTACATGAAAGTTCTGGCACCATGTGGCTTCTGGTATGAACTTAATCATTTGACATATTGTCCATTTCCAGCAAATATGCTGGAATTTAGGCCAAGATGACAGGGGATTATACAAAAGCAGTTGGGCAAGAGCTGAAGCTTGTGTTCAAGGCAACAACATTTGGCATGAGTTGAATTAAATATTTCGTTTGTTTTGTTTTTGTAGTTTTGATAATTTATGGACTAATTTCCAAAGTCCCTCAACTTCTCCCACTCAAAAGCACCGTATTATCTCTTTTCTGAAATAGGTTGTAAAAACAAGAGCAAATCACCAACTAAACATACTGTATTAATTTATCTGTGCACTTTATGTGATATTAAATTTTCCCCTGGAAATTTTATAGCAACTACAAATAGTTTTCAATAATTTGATTTTTTAAATTCTGAAACCATAATGAGAGAGAGTAAAAAACAAATCTTAGCTCATTAATGGAGGCACTATCATGATAATAAGACTGATTCAGTGAAAAAGTGAGAGTATGAAGCATTTATAGTGATTGAAAGAAAGAATGCTTGAATACAATGACTTAGATACAAAATTAATGTTCAGTAGGACAGGAAAACTTTAAATTTGGGGATTTTCTTAGAGACAAAGCTTAACTGCAATTCTAGCTTACATAGTTCATGTGCATCTCCATCATATTTTTACTAGTTAACAGGCTTAATTACCGAAATGTAAAATACCCTAATCAATAATAAGGTATAAAAATACAAAACAGTACACTGAAACCCCTGGACCAGAAAATGCTGAGTAGGGATGGAGAGTGTGCGTTGCCACATAAGGCTTACCATGACACTGAAAAGGCATACAGTAATTCCTCTGGTCTCCTTCACAATCATTGGATATATTTTTAAACATATATGAAACCCTTATACTGACTATTCACTATTATGTTTTACAAAATTAAGGGAAGTTCTGTCATTTTGTTTTAGATCATTTAGTGTTTTTGTCATGTTTTTCAGACTGCTTCCTTTCATATCTTCTCAAATACTGATTTAATTTTATACTGGTGGAATGCAGGGTGGGAGGGGGCTTCAGTTTTATCCTGGAAAAAAAAGGCAAACCCTCTGCTTCTTGTCATCTATCTACTTTAAAGGTCTTCTGCAGAACCAAACTTTATCCACGTCCTTGTTTGTACTTTCTCGCTCATGTGTGCTTTTTTGGTGTTTCCTGCAGGTTTTCATTTCAGAATAAGTTGACTCTATACCTCTGTGTGTAAACACGGCAGGCATGTCACCTGTTCTAACCTCCTACTACCACATTCTACATTCTCTATGTGTATAAGTCACCCCATTTGCTCTGGACGTCTGTATATAAACGCAGCATGCTACCCTTTCTACTCAAAGGCTGAACGCCATGCTGTTAACTGAAAGATTCCTCAGTGAGGCTTGTCACCTCTGAGCTTCACCTACAAACCAAAGTGCACACTGATCTGTCCTGGAGTTTCCAAATGTTATCATAATTTTATTATCCCACTTTAATACTTAGCTGAGACTTAAGCCAGAGTAATATACCTCTCTTTAGGTTTCATTTATGCTTCTAAATTTTTTCCTTCACCAGAAAAATGTATATCATTGTAAAGGTGCTATATTTATCTTTCCAGTCTATTTATGAAATAACCTTGCTTATTCTTATGGAAAATAGCATTTTACATTTTTAAAATAGTTCTAGCTTTTCTGAAGTGTTGGCTTTCAAAAACCTATTTTAGAATACAGAGTTAAAAATTTTATTTCATTTTTTGTTATTTCTGACTTAAAAAGTATTGTTCCATCGTGAATAAAAGCCTTTGAAACACTGAAAAACAATGAAAATTTGGGGTGAGAGCCAATTGATATATTTTAATCACATTTCCTTATTTATTCTCCATAATTATCTTAATTTTATGACTTGTTAATATACAGTACAATAAATCACTCTTACATGTTTGACTGTTTAATATTATTGACCGAAGAAATCATATAGAGTCAATAAAACATTAAGAGGGAAATGTAACCCTACTTTACAAACCTTCTGTTGCTCAAAGTGAATGTAAAATATTAAGAAGTGTGGTAATCATCCATTTCTACAGGTAAGTTTTTGGTATTTGATATTTTATGGTATAAGTTTTTATATCATAAAATATATAAACATATATGAATATACATATTTGACAGATTAATGTAAAATACAAACATTTAAAATGATGGTTCAAAGAAATGAAATTGAGTATTTTCTCCTGAAAATGTGGCTTCAACTTAATACAGAATATTTTAATGATGCCTTTTAAAATCAAATGTATTTTATATTATAAGCAACGAGCTAAAAAAGGATTTCTACTTACCAATGTAATTTGGAAGCAGGATGGACACAAAGACATAACTTGAAAGCTAAAAAATGAAAGTACAGAGACATAATTAGATAAAAGACTTTCAGAATGTATGAAACATACAGATGGAAGTGACAGACGCAGGAAATCTATTACACTGCCTTCTCTATCAGCTATTCAATATCAGTTTAGTCTGAGAAAGGCCAATATTTGTATGATACTTTAAAAATATAAAGCGTATACAAATACGAGAAAATTATTATCCTTCTCTCTTAAATCCTCAGTCTTCCCTTTAATGAGACTTGGATGTAACAGCTCAAAGGCTTGAAGTTAAATTTTTCCTCTAAGAAAGAGCAAACTGTTGTAGAGGAGAACTGCTGTACAGCAGTAGCTAATGATTATAATATTACCATATGCAAAAGTGCAAACCCTGCTCTGTCTTCTAAAAGTTTTATGACATAGTGCTATTGAAATAAAACGTTTTTGGAGAAACTCAGCCTCTTATGGCTCCCCATTTGCAGCCCTGGTGAATTAGAATTCTGAGGTAATTTCTGGCTCTCTGTATTCCAGTGGATGTTTAGATTCTCTTACTTGCCATATTCTGGTGAGGTAGTACTATGTGCCTAGCTCTGGCCTAAAAGTTGTTAGCAGAAAGGATGTGTACAATCTCCTCATTACTAGAGTATTTAATTGAGGTGACAGAAGGAAAAACTGAGTGAGGGGTATATAGAAACTCTTTGTACTCTGCAACTTTTCTGTAAATCTAAAATTATTCTTTAACAAGATTTTGTTGGGGCCTTGTGTGGTGGCTCACATCTGTAATCTCAGCACTTTTGGAGGCCGAGGCGGGTAATCTCAGCACTTTTGGAGGCCGAGGCGGGCAGATCACCTGATGTCAGGAGTTTGAGACCAGCCTGGCCAACATGATGAAATACTATCTCTACTAAAAATGCAAAAATTAGCCAAGCATGGTGGCAGATGCCTGTAATCCCAGCTACTTGGAAGGCTGAGGCGGGAGAATCACTTGAACCCAGGAGGTGGAGGTTGCAGTGAGCCAAGGTTGTGCCACTGCACACCAGCCTGGGCAACAAAGCAAGACTCTATTAAAAAAAAAAAAAGACGTTGTTAACTTTTAAAAGGTGCAAATCAAATCCAACAATATATTTTAAAAATAATTTATTGGCCAGGCGTGGTGGCTGACTCCTGTAATCCCAGCACTTTGGGGGGCGTAGTGGGGCAGATTGCCTCAGGTCAGGAGTTCCGGACCAGCTTTCCCAACATGGTGAAACCTCATCTCTACTAAAAATACAAAAAAAAAAAAAATAGCTGGGCATGGTGGCAGTCACCAGTAATCCCAGCTACTCGAGAGGCTGAGGTAGGGATATTGCTTGAACCAGGGAGGCAGAGGTTGCAGTGAACTGAGATCGCGCCACTGCACTCCAGCCTGGGCAACAGAGCGAGGCTCCATCTCAAAAAATAATAATCATTTATCACAAAGTTTAACATTTCAATATTGATATCAATAATTCATAATAATATAAATAAAAGGTGATCGTAATGCAGAAAAAGCATTTGACAATATTGAAATGACCAAGCGGGCTTCATCCCTGGGATGCAAGGCTGGTTCAACATACGCAAATCAATAAACATAATCCAGCACATAAACAGAACCAATGACAAAAACCACATGATGATCTCAATAGATGCAGAAAAGGTCTAACCACATGATTATCTCAATAGGTGCAGAAAAGGCCTTCGACAAAATTCAACAACTCTTCATGCTAAAAACTCTCAATAAATTAGGTATTGATGGGACGTATCTCAAAATAATAAGAGCTATCTATGACAAACCCACAGCCAATATCATACTGAATGGCCAAAAACTGGAAGCATTCCCTTTGAAAACTGGCACAAGACAGGGATGCCCTCTCTCACCACTCCTATTCAACATAGTGTTGGAAGTTCTGGCCAGGGCAATCAGGCAGGAGAAAGAAATAAAGGGTATTCAATTAGGAAAAGAGAAAGTCAAATTGTCCCTGTTTGCGGACGATATGATTGTATATCTAGAAAACCCCATCGTCTCAGCCCAAAATCTCCTTAAGCTGATAAGCAACTTCAGCAAAGTCTCAGGATACAAAATCAATGTGCAAAAATCACAAGCATTCTTATACACCAATAACAGACAGAGAGCCAAATCATGAGTGAACTCCCATTCACAATTGCTTCAAAGAGAATAAAATACCTAGGAATCCAACTTACAAGGGATGTGAAGGACCTCTTCAAGGAAAACTACAAACCACTGCTCAATGAAATAAAAGAGGATACAAACAAATGGAAGAATATTCCATGCTCATGAGTAGGAAGAATCAATATCATGAAAATGGCCATACTGCCCAAGGTAATTTATAGATTCAATGCCATCCCCATCAAGCTACCAATGACTTTCTTCACAGAATTGGAAAAAACTACTTTAAAGTTCCTATGGAACCAAAAAAGAGCCCGCATTGCCAAGTCAATCCTAAGCCAAAAGAACAAAGCTGGAGGCATCACGCTACCTGACGTCAAACTCTACTACAAGTCTACAGTAACCAAAACAGCATGGTACTGGTACCAAAACAGAGATATAGAGCAATGGAACAGAACAGAGCCCTCAGAAATAATGCTGCATATCTACAGCTATCTGATCTTTGAAAAACCTGACACAAACAAGCAATGGGGAAAGGATTCCCTATTTAATAAATGGTGCTGGGAAAACTGGCTAGCCATATGTAGAAAGCTGAAACTGGATCCCTTCCTTACACCTTATACAAAAATTAATTCTAGATGGATTAAAGACTTAAATGTTAGACCTAAAACCATAAAAACCCTAGAAGAAAATCTAGGCAATACCATTGAGGACATAGGCATGGGCAAGGACTTCATGTCTAAAACACCAAAAGCAATGGCAACAAAAGCCAAAATGGACAAATGGGATCTGATTAAACTAAAGAGCTTCTGCACAGCAAAAGAAACTACCATCAGAGTCAACAGGCAGCCTACAGAATGGGAGAAAATTGTTGCAATCTACTCATCCGACAAAGGGCTAGTATCCAGAATCTACAATGAACTCAAACAAATTTACAAGAAAAAAACAACCCCATCAACAAATGGGCGAAGTATAGCAACAGACACTTCTCAAAAGAAGACATTTATGCAGCCAAAAGACACATGAAAAAATGCTCATCATCACTGGCCATCAGAGAAATGCAAATCAAAACCACAATGAGATACCATCTCACACCAGTTAGAATGGCAATCATTAAAAAGTCAGGAAACAACAGGTGCTGGAGAGTTTGTGGAGAAATAGGAACACTTTTACACTGTTGGTGGGACTGTAAACTAGTTCAACCATTGTGTAAGTCAGTGTGGCAATTCCTCAGGGATCTAGAACTAGAAATACCATTTGACCCAGCCATCCCATTACTGGGTATATACCCAAAGGATTATAAATCATGCTGCTATAAAGACACATGCACACGTATGTTTATTGTGGCACTATTCACAATAGCAAAGACTTAGAACCAACCCAGATGTCCAACAATGATAGACTGGATTAAGAAAATGTGGCACATATACACCATGGAATACTATGCAGCCATAACAAGTGATAGTTCATGTCCTTTGTAGGGACATGGATGAAGCTGGAAACCATCATTCTCAGCAAGCTGTCGCAAGGACAAAAAACCAAACACCGCATGTTCTCACTCATAGGTGGGAATTGAAAAATGAAAACACATGGACACAGGAAGGGGAACATCACACAGGCCTGTTGTGGGGTGGGGGGAGGGGGGAGGGATAGCGTTAGGAGATATACCTAATGTTAAATGACAAGTTACTGGGTGCAGCACACCAACATGGCACATGTATACATATGTAACAAACCTGCACGTTGTGCACATGTACCCTAAAACTTAAAGTATAATAAAAAAAATGCAAAACCAGGTTTACAAAAAGAAAATAAAATAACTGACACACATTCATTAAGAAAAAATAATGATTATACGTAAATAAATAATACATTATATGCCTTTGTATACATCTATCAAAAAAAAGAAAATTTGTTTTTGATAAAAGCTCTTAGCAACTTATGAATAAAAGATAAATTTCTCAATCTCATAAAAAGGAATCTTGATCTTGAGGCTACCGTCATATTCAGTGGTGAAGGATGACTTTTCCTCTAGGATAGGTAACATGCCAAGGGTGTTGATTCTCATTATTTTTATGGTTGTTCCAGCCAGTGTGATAAGGCAAAAAAAGAAGGAGAAGAAGGAGAGGGAGAGGGAGAGGAAGATAAGCCATCCAGAAAAAATTAAAAGTGTTTTTATTTTCTGTGAACAAAAGTGTACTGCATCTACAGAAAAACTGCTAGCACTTGTAAGTTTAACAAATGTGATAGAAATACGTTTGCATTGTTTGTTATTCCAGCCATACCTCAGTGCTATGTATGGTTTGCATATGGTTTGTTTGGCCCCTCCAAGTCTCATGATGAAATTTAGTCTCCAGTGCTGGAGGTTGGGCCTAGTGGGAGGTGTATGGATCATGGAGGCAGATCCCTCATAAATGGTTTGGTGCCAGTCTTCTGGATATGAGTGAGTCCTCACTGTTAGTTCCCCAAAAACACCGGCTGTTGAAATGCACCTGGCACCTCCTCTGCTCTCTCACTCCCTCTCTCATCATGTGAGTTTAACACCCTGGCTCCCCTTCACCATCTGCCTTGAGTGGAAGTAGCCTGAAGCTCTCGCCAAACACAGATGCTGGCAACATGCTTCTTGTACAGCCTGCAGAACGATGAGCCAAATAAACCTCATTTCTTTATAACTTACTCAGCCTCAGATATTTACAGCAACACAAAAAGACTAAGATACCTAGATTAAATTTTAAATTATACAATGTTTTCTTATTTAGAAACTAGATCACTATTGCTATGCTAGTGTTTACCCTCATCTGATTTATTTTTCTCTCTGTGTCTTCTCCCTCCCAGTCACCCTCTCTTCTCTCCTTTCTCCACCTCTCTGATTTTTCTGTTTTATCTATTCTTCCTATTATCAATCTTATTTTGTGACTTTTAAAATAAGAGAGATCTCAGTTAAGAAAGATCAAGTTCAAATGAATGAACGAGTGAATTTTTTGAACCTTTATTACAAAAGATTTTAAAAGTTTTAACTCTGAGGGAGTTTTCTAACCTTTTCTTATATAGTTCAAATGACTTCTAAATTAAAAAGTTATATTTATTATTTTACTTTTTAATTTGTTTGCATCTACTTTTCACATCAACCTTTAATATATATGTATACCTTTATTATATATATGCACTTTATTTTATATATATACAAATACCTTATATATATATGTATATATATATACACATATGCACACACATATACCCATACATATGTATGTATATAACAGTTCAAGAATTTTAATTACAGGGATTTACTATGGATACATTTTGTGTAAGCTTTGCAATACTGTATTTGCATAGATTTGCTCATGTGGAAAAACTGCCCTAGGATGTTCAAGTTCAAGAATTGTTATTAGACAATACTTTTATATTACTTGTTTAAAATGACAGGTGATAAATTTGATCCTTATGAGACAATAGAGCTTTTGTTTCATTTGGGACTTGCTTTGTTATTTTACAGTGGGTATATACTAAGAGTGTTAATATAAGTTCATTGTGGAGATAGCACTTAGTAGAACCTTTACAGGTTCTCCGGAATGTAGTCTCTAAGAGTATGTGGACAGCACATTAATGGATTTTGTGATGCATTTATTACAAAAAATGTATAGGAGAAGTCACAAATGTTAAAGTCTAATTGTAATATAAAAAATAAACATAAGAAAGTTCATACTTTCAGCAAGTTTATGTGATTTATGAAGTTTTTCACCTATAATGCTCTGATGTAATATGTTCTATATAAATTGATTTTCACTTAATAAAAATTGGAACATTCTATGATTTCATATTACATAAAAAGAATTAAAAGAATGCATAAATCTTACCAAGGTCAATAAAAATAATACTATGGCTATTTTACATAATGCTAGGGAGTTTATGTTCAAATTTGATTCAAATAATATCTATTTTCTCAAAGAGAAATCGTATAAAGCACAATTATTTCTGCTTCTCAACATCTTGTTATCATGCTTTAATTAGCGAATACTCTTTAATCATATAAAGCAGTCTTTGTATTGATTCCTTGAACAGATTACAAATGGGTTGTCAGCATTCTAGAAGTCATTATTTCCAAATTGCAAAGAATCAAGCAGTGATTACCAAGGTACAAGAGTGCTTGATAACACAATCAAGCATTTACATAATTCGTTCTGATCTCTTTATTCAGAAAGACATAATGATAGCTTGCATTTAGGAAGATAAATTATAGAAAATTGTCTGCTTACAGCTTCAGACATATTTTTTAAAAATATTCTTTTTTTCTATTAAGATAGGCTGTGCACACTGAAGGCCATTCTTCTGTCATAGACCTTTAATGCTTATCTTGATCTCCTCAGTGCCTGTATATAAAAGTATCTTCATGAATAGACTTATTTGTAATACATATGTATGTGTATATACACACAAACATGTAAGTTTTTTAATATTGAAATTATTGATTACTTTTGAAAATTAAAATGAATGCAGTTTTTAAAAATAATTTTGTTTCTGTATTATTTAATTACTACTAAAACTTTACAATCCTTCATGGAAACCACAATAATGATTTTAATCAGATGTTGAAGTTCACATAATGCTATAAAGGGGTGATCATTTTTATTTTAATTTCAACTATGACATTAGAAGTCTTTGCTATTTTAAGTTGGCTGTTTCTTTTTTATCTCAATATAAAATATGAAATAAATCTACAGCTGCAAATTTGATCAATACAATCTCACATTTATTAATAGAAGTAATGTTTTACAAAGATTAAGACAGTATTTTTCTTATGAAAATGTCAAATATCAGAAGTGACAATAATTTTAATTATAAAAAGGCTTGGTTATTGAATAGTTTCTTATACATACATATATTTACTATTTAATCTACTCTTTTACATTCCTGGCATTTTATAAAATAACAAATATAAAAACTTGGTTACAAATCAGGCTGGGTTAAATAACTAAAACAACAGCAATGACATTTTTTCTAATTTATTTTCTTCTTGAATCAAGTTTAAAAAAAGAGATTGTCCTCAATATAGTGACTTTGAAAAGGTCCAAACCACCCTTAAACTTATTTCTGGTGACATCAGATCCTTTTTTGTTTTCTTTCTTTTGGTAAAATATACAGAATACCTTGACAATTTTTTATCAACTAGAAGACTTTGATAGCCTTATTTCATCCCATTCCCCTTATCCTCTCCTGTGAACAATCACTTGACTTAATCTATTCTGTTTACTTTGTATCTTTTACTTTGTCTGTTAAATTCACCAAATTTTATTACTTATCTTAGTTCACTGTGCCACTGGTATCCTGAAATCCTAGGGCATTCTACTAGAGATACATTTCCAAAGAAGCATTTTTATAAGACTCCCATGCGTGAACATTTCAATAATGTTTCCTTGTTCTTGAAGTAAATTGTAATGTACTTATTGTGGCATACAACAACTTTATGGCCAAAATGTTTTATTTTTTTAATTTTATATTTCACACTATTTTCTGGTTCATCCTAATGTACCATGATATCAACTGTGTCTACTCCACACCCTGGCTCTTCTACCACAACATTTGTAACTCATTTTGTTTTACATAAATACAGGAAAGTTTCCCTTAGTTAACAGCTTTGACTTCAGATTCTCTGATAAATTTCAACTCCTAACATTTAAAAATAATGGTCAAAATCTTCAAGAACTTTGAGTTCCCTATATATAATTTTATTGAGAAATTATGTCATATGTTTGCAATACTTGTTTCTAAGTTTTTTCGTAAATAGATTCTTATGTCCTCTACACAATTATGAACCCATAAACTGGCTTAAATAGCAGTTGATTAAATGTTCAGGCAAGGAGTGAATGAGTCAAAGATAAAGAATTAATAAAACTGATACAATAGCCCCATAGACTGTTTTGTTGTTGTTGTTGTTCCCTTCTGGATGTAAAGGTTGAAACTTCCATTTGTTTTATCTGAGTTTTTTCCTCAGGAAAGAACCCCTCGGCTTCTCGAAAAGTATCAGATAACTAAAACTCACCAGATCCAGCCAGTGAGACACAAGGCCTCTAAGAACTGAAACTTAACCATATAATCACATCCAGACAATGAGACACCAGGCATCTCATTCATCATAAATGCTTCCTTACCCATCCTCAGTTCCTGTTTTCCCATACAGAGTTATAATTTTTTCCCTGATATGTAAGCTTCTAATTTTAGTTGGTCAATGAGATGGATTTGAGACTCATCTTCCAACTCTTCAGTGGCAGCACCTGATTAAAGCCTTTTCTCTTGGCAATACTTGTTGTCTCAGTGATTCGCTTTCTGTGTGGGGAGCAGCAGGACTAGATAGAACCCCTGGTGCTTTGGTAACATTAACTGATTCATGTGTCTTTTTTCTTTCCCAAGTAATTAAATCTTAATGATAAAAGCCCTTAAAGTCTAGCATTGAAATTCAAGTTTACAAAATGAGAAGAATATTCATTTTCTTCTCTGATCTATATTTCAACAGTGTTTACTTTGTCAGACTAACTAATCAACATATTGAATAGCTCATAGTATAAGGCCAAGGAAACAAAACAGTCGTTTTTATTCACGTGTGAATACAATGGAAGAAAAGGAGTGAAATACAGGAGCAAAGAATGGAATTGTGAGGCAGGAAGAAAAAAATGTATGCTTATACTTGATGAATGTTGTTATTCCTTCTGACGCTGGCTCATTTCCAGAATAGAGATAATTTAGGTAAGGTCAGTATTTTAAACCTGTTCTACACCTCTCAATCTTTCTCATCATTTTTGTAAACTAAAGAATATATATTTAATGGGAAGATTTTATTATATGTATATAGAGAGAATGTATATATTATATGAATAAAGTATCTCATAGGCTTGTAAGTCACCTGTCTCAAATGAAATATATTTAAAGGGAAAATATTTTTCAATGAAAGAAACTAATAATTATGAGATGGAATATATTACAAGTAATCTTATTACAAAAATAGCTACTAAACTTTTTTTTTTTTTGCTTATTTCCCTTTCCATGCCTTATATAGTTTTTAAAATTAAGTACTTTGAGTTTTTTCATTCCATCCCATTATATGAAAAAAAAATTAAAGAAGTGGCAAGCCATAAAGATAGAAACAGAGGTGTGTACCAGAGGGCGGGGGGAGGGGGGAAAGGACAAGACACAGGAGATCAAAACAAGTTTTTTTAAAAAACTCAGAAAAAATGGATAGAAATTAAAGACTATATGAAAGTGGTTATTGCTAAATCATCATATTCTATTGGATTTTAAAACATAAAATAATATTTTTAAAAAATATCTTTAAGTGAGGGATTGAGGAAAGGCTTAAAATAATACAACATCATCAAAAATATTTGCACAACTACCCATTTTTTTTAACTAAGAAAGCATTGTCATTCACTTTCAGAAAGTAGAAAGTAAAAAACAGGGAAAATATATATTGAACATAGCTGCTGCCTTCTCAGAGTTAACAATGCTATCATGAGGGCTGAGGCTTATGAACACATATTAATTGGGATAAAACTAAGGATGCTCTAGCTAGCTTTAGATCCACTTCTCTATCAGCTTGTTGAACATCCACAGATATAGTTTATCTTAGTTACTTGGTGTCTAAGAGTAGAATTAGACCAGAAAAACCCATTCAGCTCTAAACTTCCATAATCTTATGTTTTCTTTAATTAGGATTTTTCCTTCTTCTTTTTCTTCTTCATCTTTTTATTCAAAAAGGTAAGCCACTACTATAAGTAAGAGTATGTAAAATAAAAACTTTTATACTTAAAATTTACTTATTTTCAAAAATTATTTAAAGTTATTACTGTACTTTTTGTTTTAACTTTACAATAATGTAGCATAGATTCATTTTTCTAATGCTATAAACTGTTTTGAAACCAAGAAATCCTATCAAATAATTATAGGTATTCTCTTTATTTTGGTATCTTGTTTATTTCATTTTAATTGGAAAATAATAATTGTATATATTGTATAAAATTATGGTGTACAATGTGGTTTTTAAAAATTGTTTTAAGTTGACACATAGTAATTGTACATGTTTATGGGCTACAATGTGATATTATGATAAATGTGTATAATGTATAATTATCCATTTAGGGTAATTACCATGTCAGTTTTTTCCAAACACTTATTATTTCTTCATGCTGAAAACATTTAAAAATCTGGCTATTTGAAGATATTTAATAAAGTGTTGTTAACTCTAGTCACCCTACAGACCCCATAGTATATAGAACACCAGTCTATATACTATATAGACAGATTTATCCTGTCTAGCTGTAATTTTGTATTCATTAACCAACCTTTCCATATCTCTCCTGTCTCCTATATTCCCTAGCCTCTAATAACCACTATTTTTACTCTTTGCTTCTATTAAATCAACTTTTTTCTTTTTTTTTTTTTTTTTTTGCTTTCACATGTGAGTGAAAACATGTAGCATTTATTTTTCTGTTTCTGGCTTCTTTCACTTAACATACTGTTTTCTAGGCTCATCCATGTTTCTACAGTGACAACATTTTATTACTTTTTATGGCTGAAGAGTATTCTAATATGTATATATACCACATTTTAAAAATTCATTCATGTGTTGATGAAAGCTTAGATTTATTTCATATCTTGGCTATTGTGACTTAAAAGCTTCTGCACAGCAAAAGCTATGAAACAATCAATAGAAAGAAGAGACAAATTGTAAAATGGAAGAAAATATTTGCAACCTATTCATTGTACAAGCGATTAATATCTAGAATCTACAAGAAACTCAAACAATTCAACTACAAAAATAAATCCCATCAATAGAAACAATCTAATGAATAAATGGGCAAATGACCTGAATAGAAATTTATCAAAAGCAGACATACAAATGACTACCAAAAAATGAAAAAATGTTCAGTTTCACAATCATCAGGGAAATACAAGTCAAAACAATAATGAGATATAATTTCACCCCAGTTAAAGTGGCTAATATAAAAAAGACAAAAATTTTAAAACTCTGGCAAGGATATGGAGAACGGGGCATTCTTACACCCTCTTGGTGGGAAAGTAAAGTGTCATAACCCCTGGAAAACAGTATGGAGGTTCCTCATAGAACTGAAAATAGAACTACTCCATGATCCAGCAATCCTGCTACTGGATTTATCCAAAGAAGGGAAATCAGAATGATGAAGAGATACTTTTCCTCTTACATTTTTAGGTTTATCACCTTCATATTGTCAAAGCATGATGCCAATAACCTATTTAATTTATGAAGGGCAGATAATACAGGCAGAGATTATTTTAACAAACTATTTTAATGATGATAATAAATATCTTAATATTGCCTAATGTAGAATGTCCCAAAACATATGTATCATGTAAACATAATTTTCTAAAAAAATGTGACTTTTTTTTCAGATATCACACATTTCAGGAATGAAAATTTTGTATGCTTAAAAATATTTTCATTAATGGAATTTAGGACAACACCTAAACCCAAATGTTCAAATTAATCTTTGACCATTTATATGTATAAGTACTTACCTATGTACACATATAAATGTATAAGTTTATATATATATAAATTTGCATATGATAAATCTTCATATATTTATAAGGTACTTATAGATCTATACCTACAAATATCTATATATGCTTTATATACTCATATAAGTATATTTATATTTATACTTCATAAATACTTATTTTATACATACTTAAATATTTATAAGTTAAATATTAAATATATAAAATATATATTATAAATATATTAAAATATAAATATATAAAATTTAATATTTAAAATGTTAAATTTGTTATTCAATTAAACTCTGTTAAATTTAATTTTTCTGACATGTTTTGCTTTTCATGTGAGAGAGTTTAATTGAACAACAAATCAGGCAGCCCTCAGAGACAGAAGAAATTCGGAGAACTTTGCTGTGCAACATGGACAGGCAGCATTTATGAACAGAAAATGGAAATGAAGTACAGAAACAGCTTGAGTGGTCACAGTTTTGCATTTGCCTTATTTGAACATGGTCGGATGAGTTGGTCACTTGTGATTGAAGCTTAGGTGCTGTGAATGACTGAGACTCAGATATTTGTAACAAAAGTATACTCTTAACTTTCAGTTAGCTTGGATATTTAGTTAGGTTATAATTCATGAAGTTATGATTCAAAGTACACCAGCATACTAAGGCCAAACTTAGTTTAATTTAACAATGTATGTTTTAGAAATCTTTATTAAAAATACACAGATAGACACCCTTAATGGGAATATTGCTATATGTTCCACATTATTTAAAAACCATTCTGTGTAAAAGAAAAAACTCCAAAAAATTTAATATTTTCCATGGTTAGTATGATAGTGGAAGATTGCTTCGTTAAATGACTGATTGGCTACTAAATATATTTCATAAAAATCGAAAGTATGCTAGTAGCAGTATAATGGTAGTAACTATTTAGTTAATCAGTATAGCAGTATTTAAGAGTGATGTTATCTTGCATTCTACCATTTAACTAGATCCTCAAAAAAGAAAACAGATATTAGGACTGAAAACCAACTTTTAAGATATTTTTATGTTAAATTAGGTTGTATTTTGGGGAGTAATTATTCTAATTAAATATAAACTTCCAGTTAAGTGTGAACATTTTTTCCTATTTATTATGTTTCGAATACACTGTTAAAAGAATAAAAGATTGAAATAAATATAAAGTTATTTTAGTTCCAAAATATACAAGCTTTCAAATGGCTGTTCATATAATTAAGTACATTTCTTTAAAAGCAATTAGTTGCTTAAAATAAAATCTAATAAATTAATTAGACATTTGGATACTTTGTTTTACTGCTGTTTCAAAATGAGCTATTAACATAAAAATATTACAAAAACAGAGATAATAGAACAGTTCCATAGATTACCAGATAAAAAAATAGAATGAAGAGAATGTTAAATGTAATATTGATTGTTCTACTTAATAATATTTTAATTGTTGTTCATTCAGTAAAATCTATGGGAGAAAATATCAATGTGACTGACATAACATTATCTTCAATTAATGCTAATAAAGTGTTGTATTAGTAAATAAACATGTGCAGACTTGCCTTGAATGTGAAGAATAGCCAAAGCACTTTAGTTTAAAATTATTTCTATGAAAATAAAAATATTTCTGCATTAATATTAACTATAGTAATAGCTGATAATATTTATCTTCAACATGAGTCAACATTACAGATGAAATATAAAAGTGACATCTGTGGTACTTTGGGGAACATATGAAGAATTCAAATCTGTTTTCTTTCTTCTTTCTTCTTCATGTAAGACCTCTATTGATTTGTAATATCAAGATAACAAACATGACCATTACACCTAAAAGGTGTCTCATGCCCCTTTGTGATTACTTTCTGCAGACGATCCTCACATTCCTCTCTGTCCCAAAACTCAACAACCACTGATCTGTTACTTACATTGTGAACAATTTGCACGTTTTAAATTGTATATAGATTATATCAGTTTGTTTTAGTTTTACATGGCTTCTTTGTTCTGCAGAACTATTTTGCAAAACATCAGTCATATAAATCAATTGTTTACATATTTATATTACTGAATAGTGTTTCTTTGTATGGATATACCTAAATTTCCCTATGTGTTTCCCTTGTTGAGAAACATTTGGGTAGTTTCCGCATTTGGCTATTACAAATGAACACTTGTGTTCGAGTCTCATTGTGGTCATATGCTTTCATTTCTCTTAGATACACGTTTAGAAGCAAATATAGTAAGTTTATTTTTCATGTTTGTGAAACTGTCAAAATACTTTAAAAAGTAGTTGTACTATTTTATAATAATGCCTGTGGTATAAAAGAGGTCTAGTTGCTTCACATCCTTGCTAACACTTTATATAGTCTTTTCAACTTTGCCATTCTGTTTTGTGGGTAGTTGTTTTAAAATTAAAAGCATTATTCTGGTTTCTATGAAAGGATGGGTGATCTAAATGTATGTGGCTTGGATAGGGGTATAGCGGTGGTCTGTAGTTGTCCAGCACCTGGCTCTGGCCTCTGGGTGCTTTAAGGAAGGAGGATAGTATTCCAGATGGCAGATGGCAGAAGCTTGATAAAGGGAGGCAGATGTGATTATAGATTTGGGATTGGTTGGCTCGTATATCAAAGGTATGATCACAGGGAAGCTGTTTGCTATTTCTAGGAATCAGGTAACCTTGGCAGGGGAATGTTCTCCTCTGCTCCACAAGACTACAGTATCAAAGTATTATAAAATACAGAAAATATATGATTAATAGACTAGTAGTATGGCAATCTAGTTCAGTTCTTCATTTCTCAAATCACTAATGATTTTGAGCAATATTTTATGTAGTTCTTTGCCATTTGTATATGGTATTTTGGGAAGATTCTGTTTAAATATTTTGCACACTATGTATGAGGTTATTTTATTATTCATTGGAAGAGGTTTTTATGTATTTTAGGTAGAAGTCCTTTGTGAGATACATGTTTTACAAATAAACGTGATGTTTAATTTGTTTTTTTTAACTTTGAAAAGCAAAAGTTTATTTTTAATTTTTACTGTTTTGATAAAATACAATTTACATTTCTTTCTATTATTTATTTATTTATTGAGACAGTCTTGATCTGTCTCCCAAGCTGGAGTGTACTGGCGTAATCTCAGCTCACTGCAACCTCCACCTCCCAGGTTCAAATGATTCTTGTGCCTCAGCTTCCTGCATAGCCGGGACAATAGGTGCAGGCCACCATGCTGAGCTAATTTTGTGTTTTTAGTAGAGACTGGGTGGTCTCAAACTCCTTGCCTAAAGTGCTTAAAGGTACTGCTTTGACCTCCCAAAGTGCTGGGATTACAGGCATGAGCAACCACACCTGGCGTATTATTTATACTATTTGCATTGTGTTTAAGAAATCATTGCCAAACCCATGGTCACTGAGAATTTTTCCTATGTCATATTCTAAAAGTTTTCTTTTTCTTTTTGAGATGTAGTCTCGCTCTGCCGCCCAGGCTGGAGTGCAGTGGCGCAATCTCGGCTCACTGCAAGCTCCGCCTCCCGGGTTCACGCCATTCTCCTGCCTCAGCCTCCCAAGTAGCTGGGACTACAGGCGCCCGCCATGACGCCCGGCTAATTTTTTTTTTTTTTTTTTTTTTTTTTTTTTTTTTAGTAGAGACGAAGTTTCACCGTGTTAGCCAGGATGATCTGGATCTCCTGACCTCGTGATCCGCCCGCCTTGGCCACCCAAAGTGCTGGGATTACAGGCGTGAGAATTTTGACATTCTATTTTTATATAGTGCATAATTTGAGTCAATATTATTTTGCATGTTTTAATGTCATTTGTTAACAAGACCATCTTTTCCCCAATAAATTGCTTTGACACTTTTGTCAGAAATCAATTGACCATATATACACGTGTATCTATTTCTGAACTCTTCTTTTACATTGTGTTCATTTGCTTATCTTCCTGTCAATACTGAACTGTTTGATTCGTGTAAATGTATAGTATGTCGGCCGGGCGCGGTGGCTCACGCCTGTAATCCCAGCCCTTTGGGAGGCTGAGGCGGGCGGATGACGATGTCAGGAGATCGAGACCATCTTGGCTAACACGGTGAAACCCCGTCTCTACTAAAAATACAAAAATTAGCCGGGTGCAGTGGCAGGCGCCTGTAGTCCCAGCTACTCAGGAGGCTGAGGCAGGAGAATGGTGTGAACCCGGGAGGCGGAGCTTGCAGTGAGCAGAGATAGCGCCACTGCAGTCCGGCCTGGGCCAAAGAGTGAGACTCAGTCTCAAAAAAAAAAAAAAAGGTATAGTATGTCAGGCAGTATAAGTCCTTGTTTTTTGTTCTTATTTTTCATTTTTTTCTAGATTC
The DNA here is from genome assembly GCF_000001405.40 of Homo sapiens. Classification (NCBI taxonomy): domain Eukaryota; kingdom Metazoa; phylum Chordata; class Mammalia; order Primates; family Hominidae; genus Homo; species Homo sapiens. Next base: position 86,154,840 of record NC_000013.11, on the reverse strand, counting down.
TTTGCATTTACATGTAAATTTTATAATTTATATAATTATAAATGTTGTAATTTATTTAATTATAAATTTTATAATTCTTGAAAACTTTTTCATGGAAGCCTTGAGAACTATTATGCGAATTCAGTATAGTGAACAATCAGTGGAGTATTGGTATCTTAACCATAAAACACATTTTAATTCATAAACATGTTATATCTACCAATTGAGTTTATTTTCTGAGTAATATTTTATAATTTTTATTTTCCAATTACCCACATCTTTTATAAATATATTTCTGCATATTAAATACTTTACATTTTTATTAAAAGGCTTTTTTATTTCAGTGCATGGAGATTTTATTTCTACTTAGTAATACAGTCATTTTATTTATATTGATCGTACATATGTCATGCAACATTATTATAGTCACTTATTAGATTTTATAACAAATTTTTGTAGGAAGTTTAAGATTTTCTACAGAGATAATAATTTTTTTGTGAATAAACATAGGCTTACTTTTTCCTTCTAAACAAAATTTTTTTAAAAGGTATTTTTCTTGACTCACTGCTTTGACTAATACCTAAAGTTAGATTTTGAATACAAGTAGTAAGAGCAGATGTTCCTGTTTTCTTCCTGATCCTAAGGTAAAACATTTCATTTTCATATAAAATACTTTATTAGTTTTACATTCTCTTGAGGTGCTCTCTCTGGTTCAAAAGTTTTCTTCTATTTGGTGTGTTAAGAGTTTTCAATATAATTTTATGTAAGATTTTGTCACATAAATTGCATTTATTGAGATTATTATTTTTTTTTTCTGTTAACATTGTGAATCACTTTATTTGATTTTCAAATGTTAAACCAGCTTTTCACTCCAGGTTAATTCTTACGTGTCTTGATGCACTATTTGGATACATTATTTTACTATTTTGTATGACTTTACAGAGGTTGTAATATCATGGTAATGCTGGTTTCAAATAATAATTTGGGAAGTATCCAAACTTCTTCAATTTTCTGAAAATGTTTGCATAGAATTTGCAGATTTTCTTTTCTAAGTGTTTCTCAGATTTCACCCGTGAAACTATCTCAGTTTGAGATTTTCCTGCTAGAAATTTTAACTACATACTTTCTTTAGCAGATCTAGTAGTACAGTCTTGCACAGCAAAATGATAGTTTGGTAAATGATAGATTGCATATACATGGTGGCCCCATAAGATTATAATGGAGCTGAAAAATTTCTATTGCCTACACACACTGTGGCCATGATAATGTGGCAGCGCAATGCCTTCCTCACATGTCTGTGGTGATGCTGGTTTAACAAACCTACTGTGCTGCCAATCCTATAAAAGCATAGCACATAGAATTATATACAATGCATCATACTTATTTTTGTTACTGGTTTATGTATTTACCATACTATAATTTTTATCAATATTTTCTAATGTACTACTTTATTTTAAAAAAAAACAGTTAACTGTTAAAACAGCCTCAGGCAAGTCCTTCAAACCATATTTCAGAAGTAGGCATTGTTATCATAGGAGATGACAGTCTCATGTGTGCTCTTGCCCCTGACGACCTACCAGTGGGACAAGATGTGCTGCTGGAAAATAGTAATATTGATATTCCTGACCCTGTGTAGGCCTAAACTAATGGGTACGTGTGTTAGTTTTTAACAAAAAGGTTTAAATAGTATAAAAATGTAAAACAAATTTTAAAATAGAAAAACCTTACATAATAAAGATACAGAGAGAAAATACTTTTGTACAGCTGTATAATGTATATGTGTTTTAAGATGAGTGTTATTACAAAAAAGTAAAAAATGTTTTAAAAAGTAAAAGTTGGCTGGGCATGGTGGCTCACACCTGTAATCCCAGCACTTTGGGAGGCTGAGGCGGGTGGATCACTTGAGGTCAGGAGTTTGAGAACAACTTGGCCAACATGGTGAAACCACCTATCTATTAAAAATAAAAATATTAGCCAGGGATGGTGGCAGGTGCCTGTAATCCGAGCTACTTAGGAAGCTGAGACAGTAAAATCACTTGAACCCAGGAGGTGGAGGTTGCAGTGAACCGAGATCACACCACTACACTCCAGTCTGGGCAACAGAGTGAGACCCTGTCTCAAAAAAAGGTAAAATAAAATAAAAAGTAAAAGTTTATAAAGCAAAAGTGGTGTATTAAGCTAAAGCTAATTTCTCGAAGAAAAAAAATTTAAGTAAATTTAGTACAGTCTAAGTTTACAGTGTTTATAAAGTGTATAGTAGTCTACAGAAATGTCCTAGGCCTTCACATTCACTCACCCCTCACTCACTGACTCACCCAGAGCAACTTCCAGTCTCACAAGTTCCATTCATCATAAGTGCCCTATACAGGTGTACCATTTTTAATCTTTTGTACCATTTTGTACTGTACCTTTTCTGTGTTAACATACACGAATACTCACCATTGTGTTCTGATTGCCTATGTTATTCAGTAAAGTAGGATTCTGTACAGGATTGTAATCTTGGATCAATAGGCTGTACCATATAGCCTAGGTGTGTAATAGGCTTTAACACATAGCTTTATGTAAGTACAGTCTAAGATGTTTGTGCAACAGACAAATTGTTTAACAACACATTTCTCAGACCATATCCTTATTGTTAAGCAAAGCATGAGTACATTCTGGTTATCTATTTTTTTTTTTCTTGAAAAAGCTATGAGAGTCTTGTTCTGCTAAAAAAAATTACTCATTTCATGTTAGTTGTCAAATTTTTGGAAAGAAGTATACATAATATCAACTTACTTTCTTTTTAATGTCTGTATGATAGCTAGTGGTGTTCTTTCTCTCATTTGTGATAATAGTAATTTGTATCTGGCTTTTTTTCTAATCAGTGTACTAGAAATTAAACAATTATGTTCATCTCAAAGATACAGATTTTGGTGTTTTTTAATGTCTTCTATTTTAGTTGTTTCTGCTTTTATCTGTGTTTCTCCTTAAATTTGGGTTTACTTAAAAAATAATGTGAAAATTTAAGACATTGAATTTAGACTTTTTTCTTTTCTAATACTGGTGTTAAGTCTCATAAATTTCTTTTCAGCACAACTTCAGCTGAATCCCACAGATTTTGAGATTTTTGTACTGTTCCAAATATTTTCTTATGACCCCTTTTTTTGACAAATACTTTCTATAAGTGTTTTTTTTTCTTTTAAGTGTTAAATATGTTAAAAGTTTGTGAGGAAGTTTCTACTATTAATTTGTTATTTAATTTCATTGTGGTCAAATAGCATACCTTGTATTCTTTAATTACTTTTAGTTTATTGGCTTTTTTATGTTCAAGGACATGACCTGTTTTAATAAATGCTATAAATATACTCGAATAGAATGTATATTGTGCTGTTATGTGGTGCAGGGTACTATAAATTCTATTTAGGACACATTTTTCAATAGTGTTACTTGTCTTCTATATCCTTATTGTCTTTCTACTTATTAAATTGATTATTGAGAAATGTAGAAATATTTTACTTTAATTGCTGACTTATCTATTTTTGCCTTTTTAAAAACCAATTTATGTTTTAAAAACTGTAAAACTAAGTTATTAAATGCAAAAAACTATAAAACTAAGTTATTAGAGGCAAAAATGTTTAGAATTGTTATGCCCTTGATAAATTTACCACTTTATCATTATTAAATTATCTTCTATTTCTAATAATATATTTTTTGGGATGTATTGGTCTAATATTAATATAGTTGCTCTAGTTATTTGGTATTAACCTAGTTTGTCTTCCATTTTTAATTTCTAATTTATCTCTACTTTAATGATCAATTAATTTCTTTAGGCAGCATATATGACTTATTTTTACTTGAAATTTTACCATCTCAACTTCATAATTGAATTGTTTACATAATTTACATCCAATATAAATGTCAACATAGTTGGTATTAAATCCAATACTTTGTTATTTATTTTCTTTTTGTTCTGTTACTTTTACTCATTTTTGGCTTATTTTGAATTAATTGAGGATTTTCCAAAATTTTGTTATTTGTTGGTTTATTTGATATGTTGTTTGTTTATTTGGTCTTAGTGGTTCTAGGAGAGAAGGCAGTTAGAGGCCAGCTTGGCAGATAGAGAGGGACCACACCTGTAACACCCTGTAGCTAGGGGGAAGAAATACAGTTAAGGACATCCTCTTATGCCAGGATGTTTACTCAGAAGGGACCGTCTCAACTTATACCCAAGTACAATAAATTAACCTTGATCCAGAGCTAATTGTAATATTATTAGTATTGTGGTTTTGGCCTCCCTGGTGGGATTTGCTTAGCCACTCATGAGTAATAGGTAAGATGTAGTAGCTATGGCCAATCCCAGGCATGCACAGATGCAACACCCCCAGCAGGGAAATTTACCCCTCCCATTTGGGTGGAACCCACAGAAGTCTTCCTTGCCTCTGCCACATAAAAGACCCAGAACTCAGCCCCATTTCTGGCAATCCTCTTTGGGTCCCCTCTCACTACAGAGAGCTTTTCTGTCACTAAATAAATCCTACTCTGCCTTACTCACTCTCCAATGTTTGCATGCGTTATTCTTCTTGGTCATGGGACAAGAACTCAGACGAGATGAACTAAGGAGTAAGAAAACGATAACAGTTCCTTTAGAGTTTATGTTGTATATCTTTCATTTATTACATTATCCTTCAAGTAAAATCATATTATACTTTCATTTCTCCTCTCTCAGTCTTAATGGTATTTTGTTATATTTTACTTCTTTATTAGTTAAAAACCTCACACTATATTTTATTATTTTTGCATTAAATATTAAATTACATTTAATTATGTTATTTTTAAAAGGAATTTTATACATACTGATAGATTTACCATCTGTCATGGTCTTTATGTCTTTGTGTAGATCCAGATTTCTTTGGTGCCTATATAATATTTTTAAACACTTCTTGCACTTCAGTTTTGTCTGTGATATATTTATTCAGCTTTTCAATGTCTGCAAATGTCCTTATTTCATCTTTGTACCTGAAGTAGAAGTAATTGCAAATGGCCTTCCAAAATAGTTGCTCCTGATTGTTTTCCCAATACCATTGTTTAAGATTTCCTTTTGCTGAAAATGTTCCTCAACATTTGATTTCAATTTGTATTAGGCATTTAAATTAAAATTTTGATAACTAAAGGGTTTGGCCACACATTTACATACCTATCCCCTTTTGTGACTTGCCTAATCAATTATTTTACATTTTAAATTGGTATGCTTATATATGTCATTTATGCTACTGTCTTATTGACTTAACTATACATACCAGAATTCACTAGATGCTTTCGATACAACACCTTTATCTGTCGTATATGAGACAAATATAATTTCTCTCATTGTGGAGTTTTTTTACTCTCTCTATAAACTGTTTTGAAATTATCAGTGTTAATGTATGCAAAATAATTTATTAAATGTTTCAGTTTGAGGTTAGGTATGTTTTGGTAAAAATTTATGTTTTTCTATTTTATGAATATTTAGTTGATTACAAATCATTTATTAAAACTGTTGATTTTTCCGTAGTCTGGAGTATAACCTCTGTGTTATGTGAAATGCCTTTATCTTCGTAGGTGTAATTCTAGACCTTATGTCCTAATCTATTGCCCAGTCTGTTTTTCTGTCCAGTATCTTGCTATCATCTTACTTTTGTTGTTTTATAAGAAATTGTGATATTTGACAGAGTAGTTCCTTTCGTTATGATCTTAAACATCAAATATCATGGCAATGTTTGTTACCTATTGTTTTACATGTAATTTTATTAAGAACCAGGTTGATAATTTACACACACACACACAAACACACATACACTTACCCCATACTACATGATAGAGTATTGTTAAAATTACTTTGAATCTATACGCCAAAGAATTAAAATCTTTATGGTACCAAAGTATTCAATTTGTGTATACAATCTTTTCCTCCATTTCTTATAATCTCTCTCTTTAAAATTGTTTTAAATTGACAAACAATAATTGTACATATTCATGGAGTACATAGTGGTGTTTCAATACATACAACATATAGTGATCAGATCAGGTTAATTGGCATATCCCTTATCTCAAATATTTATCATTTATTATCTGTGTTAGCAATGCTCAACATCCTCTTTCTAGCTACTCGAAGTTGTATATTACTGTTAACTTAGTCATCTTACAGTGATTAGAGCACTAGAACTTATTCCTCCTATCTAGCTGTAATTTTGTTTCCCTAAACAAATCTCTCCCTCTCCTTTCCTTCCCTCTATTCTTCCCAGCCTCTGGTATCCTCTGTTTTACTGTTTACTTCTCTTAGATAAATACTTTTAGCTTCTACATAGGTGTGAGAAAATGTGATGTTTAATTTACTGTTTCTTATTTTGCCTAACATAATGTCCTCCAGTTCCATCCATGTTTGCCGCAAATGACAGATATGTACTATTTTTAAGGCTAAATAGTACTCCATTGTGTATATGTACCACATTTTTAATCAATTCATCTAGGTTGATTCCATATCTTTACAATTGTAAATAGTGCTGCAGTAAACATGGGAGTGCAGATGTGTCTTTGATATAATAATTTCCATTTCTTTGGATAAATTTCCAGTAGTGACATTGCTGGATCACATGGATAGCTCTGTTTGTAGTTTTTTGAGAAACCTCCATACTGTTCTCCATAGTGGTTCTACTAGTTTACATTCCCACCAACAGTAGAGTTTTCTTTGCATTTTCACTAGCAGTGTGTGTGTGTGGGTGTGTGTGGGGGGGTATTTGAGGATAACCATTCTAACTGTGGTAAGATGATATCTCATTGTGGTTTTGATTTATATTTTCCTGATAATTAATGGTGATGAACATTTTTTAAGAAAAAAATATTACTTCTTTTGAGAAATGTCTTTTCAGATCATTTGCTTTTTATCATCATGATTTTTTCTGTTGATATGTTTGAATTTCTTATATATTCTGGACGTTGATCCACTGTTGGTTGAGTAGTTTGCAAATATATCCTTCCATTCTGTAGGCTGTCTTTTGACTCTGTTGTTGAGTTTTCTTTGCTGTGCAGAAGATTTTCATTTTAGTATAATCACCTTTTTTTATTTTTGCTTATGTTGCCTGTGCTTTTGAGGTTTTATTTATAAAATCTTTTCCCAGGCCAATATCCTGAAGCATTTCTTCTATCTTTTCTTCTAGCAGTTTTATTACTTTATATCGTACATTTTTAGGTCTTTGATTCACTTTGAGTTTTTTTTTTGTTTTTGTTTTTGTTTTTTAACAGAATGAGAGGTGGGGGCCTACTTCCCTTATTCTGCTCATGGATATCCAGTTTCCAAGCCCCATTTACTAAAGAGATTGTCCTTTTCCTAATGAGTGTTTATGACACTTTTGTGAAAAATTATCTGTAGATATGTGGATTAATTTCTAGGTTCTCTATTTTGTTCCATTGGTCTATTTGTCTCCTGTTATTGCCAGTATCATGCTGTATTGGTTACTGTAGACTTGTAGTATATTATCAGGTCTGGCAGTGTGATATCTCCAGTTCTGTTCTTATTTCTCAGAATTGCTTTCCTGAGCAATAAAGCTATTTGAGGTCTTTTACAGTTCCATATAAATTTTAGAATTTGTTTTCGATTGATGTGAAGAATGGCATTGGTATTTTGATAGTGATTGTGTTGAATGTGTAGATTGTTTTGTACAGTACTGTAGTATTATGACAATATTACTTCTTATCCATGAGTATGAGCTGTCTTTTCATTTGTTTGTATCCTCCTGTTTCTATCATCAGCATTTCCTTCTTTTACTTGTACAGGTCTTTAACCTCCTTGGTTAAATTTATTCCTAATCCTAGGTAATTTTTTTGTAGCTATTATAAATAGAATTCCGTTCATAATTTATTTTTCACCTAATTTGTTGTTAGTGTATAGAAATGCTATTGATTTTTGTATGTTAATTTTGTATCCTGAAACTCTCCAAACATTTTATGATTTTCAATGTTAGGATCTCACAGGTAAATTTACCAATTAATTTAAGGTATTTTTGATTATCTGATTATAACGTAAGTGGTCATTTTTCAAAATCTAATCTTTGTTTTGTGAGGGAGATATAAAATATAATTGAAAATAAATAATTTGTTCTAGCCAATTTACAAATTTTAGTTAGCAATTCCAATAAATTTTCTGTATATTCTTTTCTACATATATTATCAGATTGCCTGTAAATGTGGGTAGAATTTCTTCTTTATTTACATATTTTCCTTGCTCTTGGCATTTGACAGGATTCTGCTAGAATTTTGAATAGAAATTGTTAATCATAATGCTTCCCTCAGCTCAGAAAAGACGTTCACTATTAGGTATGATGTTTGCTGTAGATGTGTGTGTGTGTGTGTGTGTGTGTGTGTGTGTGTGTAATTTGTATATACATATAATACATATAATTTTTTTGAAGATTATCTTTATCAGAAGGAAAAACTTTTTTCTTTTTATAATTTACTAAAATTTTATATTGAATTTTATCAAATAATTTTCTTCACTTACTAAAATAATCATGTAATTTTATCCATTTTTTAAAAATATGGTAGATTACACTGAATTTTATGTGATAAATCAAATTTTTCATTTCTAGAATGACTCAACTTGGTTGTGCTTCAATTTCCTTGTAATTTTTTTGGCTAATTTAAGAAATAAACTTTGCATTTAGTTCATTAGTAAGATTAACTGGTAGCAGCTTTCATTCTCATAATATTTGTGCCCAGTGATAGATTATGTTAGACTTCTTTTTGAAACAGGTGGAACATTTTCTTCCTTATTCTATTATTTACAATATTTGTATAAAATTTTTTTAAAGGTTAGGGAATTGTAAGGTTTAGGGAAAATTCACCATCATAGCCATCTGGTCTCAGCTTTTTGTTTGTTTATTTGTAGTGGTCCTCTACTCTGTGCTGTGGGAATGTTTCTATCTATAGATACAGTTTCTTCAGTATTTCTAAGATTCTATTTTATTCTGTGTCAGTTTTAGCATGTTGTATCTTAATAGGAGCTATCTATTGTGTTTAAAAATTGTTTAATTTTTTATTATACTTTAAGTTCTGAAATACACGTGTGGAACATGCAGTTTTGTTACATATGTATACACGTGCCATGGTGGCTTGCTGCACCCATCAACCCATCATCTACATTAAGTATTTCTCCTAATGCTATCCCTTGCCTAACCTCCCATCCCCCAAGAGGCCCCAGTGTATGATGTTCCCCTCCCTGTTTCCACGTGTTCTCATTGTTCAACTCCCACTTATGAATGAGAACATGAGGTGTTTGCTTTTCTGTTCCTGTGTTAGTTTGCTGAGAGTGATGGTTTCCAGCTTCATCCACTTCCCTGCAAAGCACATGAACTCATCATTTTTATGGCTGTATCGTATTCCATTGTGCACATGTGCCACATTTTTCTTTATCCAGTCTATCACTGATGGGCATTTGGGTTGGTTCCAATTCTTTGCTATTGTGAACAGTGCCGCAATAAACATATGTGTGCATGTGTCTTTATAGTAGAATGATTTCTAATCCTTTGGGTATATAACCAGTAATGGGATTGCTGGGTCAAATGGTATTTCTGGTTCTAGATCCTTGAGGAATCACCACACTGTCTTCTACAATGGTTCAATAATTTACACTCCCACTAACAATGTAAAAGCATTCCTATTTCTCCACATCCTCTCCAGCATCTGTTGTTTCCTGACTTTTTAATGATCGCCATTCTAACTGGTGTGAGATGGTACCTCATTGTGGTTTTGATTTGCATTTCTCTAATTACCAGTGATGATGAGCTTTTCTTCATATGTTTGTTGGCTGCATAAATGTCTTCTTTTGAGAAGTGTCTGTTCATACCCTTTGCCCCATTTTTGATGGGGTTGTTTGTTTTTATCTTTTAAATTTGTTTAAGTTATTTGTAGATTCTGGTTATTAGCCCATTGACAAATGGATAGATTGCAAAAATTTTCTCCCCCTCTGTAGGTTGCCTGTTCACGCTGATGATAGTTTCTTTTGCTATGTAGAAGGCTCTTTAGTTTAATTAGATCCCATTTGTCAATTTTGGCTTTTGTTGCCATTGCTTTTGGTGTTTTAGTCATGAAGTCTTTGGCCATGTGTGTGTCCTGAGTGGTATTGCCTGTTTTTTCTTCTAGAGTTTTTATGGTTTTTGGTCTTATGTTTAAGTCTTTAATCCATCTTGAGTTAATTTTTGTATAAGGTGTAAGGAAGTGGTCCTGTTTCAGTTTTCTGCATATGGCTAGCCAGTTTTCTCTACACCATTTATTAAATAGGGAATCATTTCCCCATTGCTCGTTTTTGTCAGATTTGTAAAAGATCTGATGGTTGTAGATGTGTGGTGTTATTTCTGAGGCCTCTGTTCTGTTCCATTGGCCTATGTATTTGTTTTGGTACCAATACCATGCTGTTTTGGTTACTGTAGCCTTGTAGTAGTGTTTGAAGTCAGGTAGCGTGATGCCTCCAGCTTTGTTCTTTTTGCTTAGGATTGTCTTGGCTATGTGGGCTCTTTTTTGGTTCCATATGAAATTTAAAATAGTTTTTTCTCATTATGTTAATAAAGTCAATTGCAGCTTGATAGGGATAGCATTGAATCTATAAATTAATTTGGGCAGTATGGCCATTTTCACAATATTCATTCTTCCTATTCAGGAGCATGGAATATTTTTCCATTTGTTTGTGTCCTCTCTTATTTCCTCGAGCAGTGGTTTGTAGTTCTCCTTGAAGAGGTCCTTCACATCCCTTGTAAGTTTTATTCCTACATATTTTATTCCCTTTGTAACCATTTGGAATGGGAGTTCACTCATGATTTGTCCCTCTGTCTATTATTGGTGTATAGGAATGCTTGTGATTTTTGCACATTGATTTTGAATCATGAGACTTTGCTGAAGTTCCTTATCAGCTTATGTAGATTTTGGGCTGAGATGATGGGGTCCTCTAAATATATAATCATGTCATCTGCAAACAGGGACAATTTGACTTCCTCTCTTCCTATTTGAATACCCCTTATTTCTTTCTTTTGCCTGATTACCCTGGCCAGGTTGGTCAACCCATATATGTTCCTAAAGTCTTTTTATTAGAGTAGCCCCCTTTATTCATGAGATATATGTTCCAAGACCTCCAGTAGATGCCTAAAACCTCAGATAATAGCAAACCCTATATACACTATGTTTTTTTCCTATACATGCATACCTATGTTAATGTTTCATTTATAGGGGGACTGGACACAGGAAGAGATTAACAACTCATAATAAAATAAAACAATTATAAAACATATAGTAATAAAGTTATGTGAATGTACCTTCTCTCTCCCAAAATATTTTATTGTATGTAACATTTTTGGATGACAATTGACCCTTGGTAACTGAAACCAGGGAAAGCAAAACCCTAGATAAAAAGGGACTTCTATATGTTTTATGTCTGCATCCTTTATATAGTTGTAGCACATTTTCTGTTCCTAATATTAATTACTTTAGGTCTTCTGCAGTGACTTCTAAAATATGTTTTTAAAGATTTTACATATAATTATCTGTATCTTCACATTTGCTTGATCAATGTCTACATATATGTATTATTAATATGCATTATTTTATTGCCATAAAGTTCAATATGTCATTGCAAGTCATTTTCTAATTCCTAATGTCATTTATTCATTTAGCAGTGAGGTTTTGTGAAACAAATCTAATTTTATTAATTTTAAATTGACTTTATTGTGGTCAAAGAGCATACTCTACATACTTTCAATCTTTTGAATTTTTTTAGATTTGCCATATGGCCTATTATATGAACAAATTTTAAAAAATTTAAGAATAAACTAAAATAGAATAAATATTTGGTATTTGTTGGTACCTTCTATATAACTCAATTGCATCCATTGCGTCAGTATTGTTGTTTGAATCTTCTATACACTTAAAAATAAATATTTTTTCTTCTATCTGCTGATAAGTATGTCTTAAAATCCTGCATTATGTTTATAGATTTTTTTATTTTCCCTTTTATTTTTTCCTAATTTTACATTTGGACCTATGATATCAGCTGCAAACAAATTTGAGATTACTTTTTCCTGAATAATGAAAACATTTTATAATTATATACATAATTTATACTTTATAATTATAAAATGTCCACCTTTATTTCTCATACTTCGTCTTATAGTCTAGTTTTTTCTGATATTATTATAGTATTAAAGCTATTACAGTAGCTTTATTGTATTGTATTGTATTCATGCTTAATCAGATCTAAGGCTGAAATAGTCAATTATCTCCAATCTTTTAATTTCTTCAGTTAATAACAGCATTGTCCTTGGGATTTTATCTCACTTAAACCACAAAATAGGCCTTTTCTTTTGCATGTATTCTTCTCATAAAAATGCAGTCACTAGGCTACAAGGGCTGGACAAAGTCATATAGCGAATATATCAGCTTTCGTGTTCTCTTGCCTTACATAATACAGAGTTGCTATTTTTCTCTGTCCTTTCACAATTTCCTTAACACTACACACGTTAAAATACATGTACTTCAAATTAATCTAATATAACGCAACATATTCCTGAAAATGAAAGTCAGCATTTTTTTGACAAAAATCTGAAATGTCAACAAAGGAAACCAACCAACTAAAGCTAAAGAGAAGGGAAATACATACTAATCAAAATAAATTGTAAGAGCACATGTACATCAAAAGCAAGAAAGTAAAATAATTCAAAATTTTCAAATGACCAAACTTTAGAAGGTATAAATTGATAACTGATATTAACTAATAATACAATTTTAAAATATATGAAATAAAAATGGATATACAGAAGGTCATTCTGCAATTATAGAAAAAAGAAATAGATATTCCTACATTTCTTGTTGTAGCAGAATTATTAACAATATATTGACAAATTATTAGTAAGCTCAATCTACTTACAAAACTTTTCAGGCAAAATTGGAAGAATGTAACTTCTATTTTGAACAAACATAGATGTCATACTAAACTCTATCATGTACTGGACTAAAAAGAAGTATCATTAAAGCTAAACAAGGGACATGAAGAGTTTATAACTCTAATGTACTATATTGATAATTATGATAATTATGTAACCAGCTTAAAATTTTTAAATTGGCAAAAATTAAAATATAATTAATACCTTGCTATCATTTAAGTATTTGTGTCCTATAAATATTAATTTAATAATAAAACATTAAAAATACCAAGAATAAAAACAGAAAATAGGAGGGAATGATACGATGAACTGAATAATTTGGATAATCAAAATGTGGTACAATGCAAAGACAAGTATACAGATTTAAATAAGTTCATCAGAAAAATTAATAAACTGTAGTCATTAAAGAAAAAGACAAGAATAAAACCATATAAATACAACAAAATAAATAACAAACTGGACTTAATGGACTCTAAATCAAATACTGTAGGGTGTATTAATAAACTCAGTGTGCTTTATGTAAACACTATCAGTTTCAAAATTCTGCCTAAATTTATTAAGAATAAAAGAGAAGATATATGAGTAACTATGTCATCTGAAAAATAAGCCAACTGCTATAGATTTATACATGAAATATGTGGATTAAACATTAATTTTCAGATAAAATTATTTATTTCATCTATTTATTTAAATAGATTTTAACTATTCCCACAAAATAGAGGTTCAATTCACCTCTATAGAGTAAAGTATGGGGTCTGATGCAAGGAATACCTGGTTCTGTCCGTGCACCTGTTTCCTATTTATCCTGGGGCTTCCCTTATGTCATGGGTGTGGCAGCCCTACAAGAACAAAATACATGGCTTGCATATTTGTTGCAAGCAATATTCTCCACTGGTCTGCCTTTTCCTCCTGTTAGCAGCTCATTCTAAGCTAGAGCTGTAGATACCATGTTTCTCACAGGGAAACATGTGAGGATAAGTTAGGCAAGTGGCTACATCTTTAGTGGGCCAAATTGGAACAGACTCTGCTGTCATGAGCAGAAAACACTCTGGCCAGAGAGTGAGAGAAAATGGGAGATGTTCCATAGCTGGCTGGTTTCACCTGGAGGGCTGGGGATGCCAGGTGGTCCTTTACATGCTCACATACCGCAACTCATGTTACCTAAATTTGAGAAGGGAGGCTGACAGGTATGAACCTGCCTTTCTTCAAGTAAATGGTAGTTCAATGGTAGTACCCAGTGAATTTTAAAAGGCATTCTTGATGTGGGTCAGAATGAAGGGATTCTTCTAGTACTGAGGCAGCAGTTATGTATGAATAGGTACAGGGGTATTTTAATATTTTAACAACTGACAATCCTCACAATATTACAAATCATTCTTATTTACAAATACATCATGCACAAATTTATGTCAATTATTTTGAAAATTCTGATGCAGTGGATCACTATCAAGAAAGCACATGTAAAATGTAAACATGGATCAAGAAGAAATAGGAAACTTGAGTATCAATAGTCAGCAAAGAAATTAAAATGACATCAATAACCCACCAATGCATCTCCTCCAAAAACATTAACATGTGTTCCATTTGTATGTTTTTACTGTTTAAAACATGTTAAACGTTCATTTTGTTCCAGAAAAATTTAAATTTGGATAATGTTCCCTTCATTTAATGCACACTTGGTACCAAACTGAATAATGACTATTGAAGAATTTAATAATGTTAATCAATGTTACTTATGGAAGTTGATAAAAATAAATATTTAAGATAAATATTCACTAATTATAAATAATTATTTGCTCACAATATAAAGCAATTATCATTAAATAAGAATTATGCTAGGAACAGAAAAAGAGTGTGACACCAGAAAATCTGCCGATGCAATTAAACACATCAATGCTGCCACATCAGTATTGCCTGTAATTCAAAAGCACAGTTAGCAGAGACAGTCCAAGCAGATCCCCATGATCTATGCCACTTATACATATTGTTATTGTTCTGTATTGATTTTTGTTTTGATACATGGAATACATTTTTATACTCTAAAATTATATTATTATTTCATAAGAATTCTTCAGCAAAGAGACTCATTTGGTAAATGTGGAGATCATGTTATGAGCTGGTATTTGTTTGAATGCTGATTTTAGAGATTAAGATCCAACTGGTATTTTGGGGGGACACAGGACACTTTTATATTTTTGGAGATGGAAGTTTCTTAACTTTGAAATTGCCTGCCTCTGCTATAAAACAGGGAAGAGCTAAGGCTAAAAAGCCCATCAGTCTCTGAGAAAAACCCACACTGTTCACTGGAATGATTACAGTATGCAGAGTGTATCTTAATAAAAAAAATAGACATATTCAGCCTTTCTCATGGAAACTAGTAATGGCTAATTTGTATTATGTAGTATGACCTGCAAAGTAAAAGAATAAGCACATATTTTTAGTGCATAAATTGATCAATCTGGTCAATTAGACCTCTAGCAATAGAAGGTTGTAATTTCTACTATCGATTAACAGGAAATTAACACTGGCAAATACATGACAAAACACAATGAAGATGTCCCAAATACCCAATTTCTTATTTCCTACTCCATTTGTTTTTAATACATTTCAATAAAAGCATCAAATAACTTTATGTATATTTGATATTATTCTGGGATATTATGCAGTTTTATGTACATAAATTACATTTTTGATCATCAATGCTTCCATCTGCTCAGTGAGTCCTAGCTAAGTCTCCCTGTTATTTTTAAAAATGAGATATAATTTCTTATGCTCAAAATACACTAATTTTTATTTAATCATATCTACATTCCTTATCAGATTACTAAAAAAAATCCACAACAACAAAATAAGCCTTAATGCCTCTAGCTACTTTGAAAAATTTTTTCATGTGTTAGGCAAGTTTTGGCAAAGAAAACAATCTTCTATGCTTGCAGGAGCAGGAAAATGTGTCAAAAAGATGAAATAAAATTTCTGCATGATTTAACATCTAATAGAAAGAAAACAATGACAATTTAGGTATTAAATGAGATCCAGCATGTTGAAACCTGAAGAAAATATTTGCTGAGAACATTCAGTTCGATAATTTTCCTCAATTCAGTGGTTTAGGCTGAAGTCTCTCTCTTGGGCCAACAGAACATTCTTGGACTAAACAGTTATAGTTAGTTCAGTGTGAAAATTGCATATTCAATAACTTGAATTTTGTTTTTGCCTTCTTTAAGATACTTATAAGAGTATAAACATTAATTTGTATTTGTCATGAGTATCTTAATCATATCTATTTCATAGATAAACTGGGTAAATTCAGAGTGATTATTGATTACTCTTCTATATTCATTACTTAATAATATAATTAGATTATATTATTTCCTTTAGCAATCACATCTGTTCTGGAAGAGAGGCTGAAATTTCATAAAACAACTTTCGAATTATTCTTTTTCTAATGTAACTGCTCCTGTAAACATAATGCTCTGCTAGTTTATTGATCACAACTATAATGCGCTTTTCATACTCCTGTAATGTTGACTACCCTTCACTGGTTCATTAATTCACACCATTTAAAACTCATTTTGTTTTCCCTTAATTCTATACTAATAAAATCTGACAAAGTTAATAGTTTTCCTTTAATATTCTTTCCTACCAAACATGATTATTGATATTGCATAGTAATTAAATGCATGGGCTTTGGGATTAGACAAATGTATATTTGCATTTAAATGCTGCCATTTTTAAATTGGGGAAGTTGAGTGATTTAAATTTAGTGAAATTTCACAGCATGAGATCATCTCATTTCTAACATGGTAATTACAATATAACCTTCTTTGTTTTAAGTATCATATGTGTAATGTGTGAAAGTCGTTTAGCATAGTTCTGGCCATAATGAGTCTAACTGCCTTCTAGCTGATGTGGTAAGCCATTCGTGTTTATACATTTAGTCCTCTGAGTAATATCATATTTCTTAAATAATTTAATAAAAAGAGACTAAAGCTATCTATGTGTGATCTCTTTTTTATTACTTTCCATTTCTACCATTCACATTTAAAATATATACTTATCAATGAAGCTGTTTGCTCCTGGAGATACAACAAGAGAAAACAAAGTTTCTCAAGTGGCTTACTAAATGGCAAACACAATATAAAACACTACTAATTTAAACTTTATTTTCAAATTATTATTTAGTAAAGGGCATGCAAAAATCTAAGCATTTTTAATTCCTATTTCCATGAAACACAAAAAGTTGATTTGAATGCTTCTTAGTTTACTCATGGAGATAGGTATTTGGGAATTCTTACAAAGTATTTGCATTAAGAATGGGCAAACTTATCCATGTTGATAGTGACCTCCTATGAACTGGAAAAAATCTGAGAAATACTTTTTCAACAACAGTTTTGACATTAATTATTGAGCATAAAAATAATAAATGTTATTTGACTATTAATAATTAATTTGTATAAAATACAAAACCCAGTTATTCTCTCTCATGCTCTGAAAATTAGAGCATGTGCCATGGTTTAAAATATTCCGTGTTGCTTTTGCTGAAAGAAACTGTCATCACTTACCTAAACATAAAAATGCAATCAGGAAATTGTTTAAATTATAAATGGAAATTACCATTTTCATCACTTTTAGTTGCTGTTCCTTTTTTATTTTGCCAACAGTATGTTGTACCTTTTGTTTAATTTCTAGGAATAAGGACTTTAGCCATGGGTCATTAAAACTATTCAAAGTAACTACATGTGTGATGTCCTTGCAAGCTGAGTAGCCAAAACTTGCTTTGAGTTGACTTCAATATGTATATTACATCTGAATATCCTAAATGTCCTTTAGTCATGTATTTCTTTACAGTCAGAAGTATCTCTGACTATTGTTAATTTCTTTTTGTTCACTACAGCTTTTAGATAATTACAGGTTACTGTTAGGCACTTTTAATATGATTACACAGGACTAACTCAGCAGTTGATTCAATAGGCACTAATGAGAGGCTATTAGAGAGAGTACTCTATTATCTAATCCTTATTTCAAGATATTTTGATTCTAATAGAAGCAAAATTATTAGACATGGAAGAAATTACAGGTGCATATTTATATGGAAGAAGCAAAATTTTGAAAATTGTGAGTTCTCTCTAATATTCTTTCCTACAAAATATGATTAGTGATATTGCATAGTCGTTGAGTACATGGGCTATGAGATCAGAGAAATCTACGTTGGTAGATAAATAGCTATGCTGATAGTCTTCAAGGGAAATGCAAATAGTGAGCACGCAGTTATTTGTTAGTGAAGAGTATCAATTATTGAAACGTAAATACCAAAACATGGTTTTACATGCTCATTCTATTTGATACCCTTTATATATCTATACGTGTCTACTCCAATCCACAGTATTAACAGTTAAATTTGTCTTTATAATTTTCATGTATTATATTCAGTGATAAATATATGCTTAAGTCTTGCTTGTAATTTATAATGCTAATGCCAAAAAACAGCCTCTAGTTTAATTTAAAAAGCAAAAAGGAGTTGGCTCTCTAATAACATGTATAATATAAAGAAAGTTACTTCCTTTAAGTAATTTGTATAACCTATTTGGGTCAGCTTTTGTTGTGTACAAGCAACAACATTTCAGTGACATAAAACAATCATTATTTATTTTTAACTTACATTGCTGTGTTGGCTTGTGTTAAGTCCATCTAGGCTGCATTCAGCCAGACTTGGTTCCCAAGAGACAGGTGGATCCAAGTCTGCTCCAGAGGTCTAGCATTCTTCCTCCAGAAGCTATTTGAAGTAGATTTGTCTCATGACAGTGGAAGCAGAAATGAAGGAAAAGTCCAAACCTGTAAGTGCATTTCAAGTCTGTGCTTGCACCACATCCATGGCCCTTCTTTGGTCAAAGCAAATTAATGACTGAATCCAGCTTCAGTGAAGGAAGAGAGCTCCTCCCACAGAGATGAAGATGGAGGAAAGGAATGTTACTTGCTGAACAATAATTGTGTCTACTATGATTTGTAAAGGACTGATAATAATAATTGCACAGTGTTGTTTAGAAGACAAGAGTTGTAGAAATGCTTTAAAATTTAAGTACTAAGTCATTTGAAAATATATTTATGAATATTTAGCTACTAATAAAATACTAAGTAGGGGCCCAAGTGATCAATTAATTGGTTAAGAACAAGAGATGAAGTTTTTAGTCATTTTTCACAAAATGTATTAATTTAAACTGAACAATTGGGATCTGGATGTTTAAATTGATTACAAGTCTATGACAATAACATTAGCCAATGATAATAATTGGTACCAAATTGAAAAAAATCCTTATAGAAATAAAATAATTTAGGTAGGTAGATAAGTAGTTATTATTGCCAACAATAAATGTGATACTATAAAGTCGACTGAAGTACATGTTTGATAGTACTTTTGGTATTGTTAATCTATATCACATCAATTATAATAGTGCTCTTTACCAAAAGTTGGAATAGCGAATGTTGTGTTTTGGATATTAAAAGATAGAAAATGATATATATAAAAGTATTCATTTTTCTAAATATTTGCATTCACTTATAAAATGTCAACGGCAGTGCTGCTTTTATTTCATCGTAAATTTTTTATCAGTTATATATATTACACTGTGTTCCAATTTCCTCAACAACTAATACCAATATCTTGCAATTCTCTAAATAGACTTTCCTTTAAAGAATAAAGCCCTTGATCTATAGTATTTGTTTTAATTTTAATCAACTTTCATATTAAAACATTGGCACATATGGACATTTTATATTCATGTTTTGTAATCTCTTCTCTGAGTCACCAAGTTTTAAATTCATTGCATCCTAAATACCTACTACATTTAATTTTAGAGAAAATACAAATGTCAACATGTTTAAATAAATAGTAAATACATTGACACTAACTATGATGCATTAAATAATATTTCTGACTTATTTCTCCTGTAAACTCAACAGCGAACTACTCTACAACTGCTTAAAATGTGTTTAGGTTTGTTTAGAGTTTTCTTTTTCTCAGTCATAATATCAAGATGGCATTACAAAAAATATGGTGCCGTAGTCCATAATGGGATTGATTTTTAATAATGCAACCTGTTCTCTTTCATTTGTATTCACCTCAAGTTAATAGAGAATGACCTAACAAAGGATTTCTGTAGAAAAATTGGATTCTTTTTGTTGTATGTTTTAGTTATGTAAGATTTACTTGAATTATTTTAAAGCAAAAATGATCAACTGACTTTAAAGTGTTACTTAAGATAAAAAGAAAACTAAGAATATATAAATTATACAAATTTAATAGCTTAGGATAAAATATGTACTGATTAAAAAATGATAAATTAATGCCAGTGATTCTTATATTTTTGTACAGCGATGAAGGCTATGTCTAAACACTGGAAGGGGAAGGGAAATCATGCAAGGAAACTATATGTGGCAAAATGACTTCAGTTTGAACTCTTCTATTTTTCAATGGCTTGAGAATTGAGCACATATTCTGTAAGAACATCATATATAATTTTTGTTGTTTACTAGTTATTTATATATTTAGGAGACACTGCCACTATGTTATACTTTCATCCAACCAGCAAGTATTTTCCTAAAAAAATCAATCCTGTTCTTTGAGAAAGATATTGAAGGAATTAGGATCAATTATTTATATGACTATCTGGCTTAATTGATGAGATATGGACTGTATTGTCAAATATTTTGAAGAATTAAGAGATGATACAATTATATAATTTATGAGATGCAGGAGCTCATTGGGAATCTCTCTGAAACCAGAAATATTACGTGCATTCAAGAGTCAGAGTCATAAACTTGAACACATGGCATGGGTTTGAATGTCATACTATCTAACTGTGCAGTACAGATGTTTTTACTTAACTTCGTAAATCAATTTCTTCTCAAATCATTAAATTATATTATTGTGAGGGAGAATGTTTTTATTTTAGTGATTTTCTCTCCAATGTTAATATTGAATATAACATTAATGTGATTATTTATTATGAAATTAAAATGGTACACTTAAGCTGAAGTCTCTTTTGACAGCTCTAATTACAGCCTTTCTCTTCTCCTCCAGGTAGGTATTACTGTTATCTGCTTATGTGCATATACACATGTTTTAACCTTATGTGTGTATGTGCACATATTTAAGAGTAGAAATCCATGCTACTGGTGCATGTGTGTGCTTTGTTTTGCAAAATTGGTGTTATATTTTAAATTTAGTCTATATTTTTTGGAATATATTCAATATTTCAAATATATATCTATACATTGCATATATATTATATATGTTATATATGTGTGAAGACCTTTCTGCATTGCATTTCACAATATGGTTATGCCCTAAGTTTGTTTAATAATTTTCTAATAATGTACACTTATGCTTTCTTAGTTTTTTCACTATTAGAAAAAAAATGTTTCCTTGGGCATTAGTGTACATACTTTATCATGAACATTAGGAAGAATTATTAGAAAATAAATAAAAGAAAATAAGTGCTAAGGTATTTTAAAAATGCATATTTCGATGTATTAGTTTTTTTCAAAGTACTTTCTGTGGAGTGATCTCAATTTCCACTCTCCACAACATTTGGCATTATTAAAAGATGATGGTTAGAATATGCTAATAACGTTTTAATCTGCATTTCTTTCTATTAATGAGATGATACACCTTTTTACTGGCAATTTTTGTTCCTATTTAATTGGCTTCCATTCATAATTGTTTCCCAATTATGTAATTGGGTTGCTTTTTATTTTCCTAATTTGCATTGTCCGGATATATTTATATCCAACATTTGCATTGTTGGATATATATATCCAGAGGATATCAATTCTCTGCATGTTAAACATGTGGCAAATGTTTTCTCTCAGTCTGTTGCCTGTCTTTTAACAATGTTTATAGTGAGTTAGAAAATTAAATTTGATGTAACCAAGTTTAGCAAAGTTTCTTTTGCTTTTTATGTCTTGTTTAAATTTTCTCTTGCCTAGTCACAAATATCGCATGCTAATTTTATTTGAATTCTTTTTAACTTTATAATGTATATACTTCAGAGATAGACTGCCTTTGCTAACATAATATGTTATTTATATAGTTTTGTGAGACTGAAGAAAAAACATAAAATCTCTCTGCTTCTGTTTTCTAATATACAAATTGAAAATACCATTCTGTACAAAGGACCTGGCAAAGATTTCATGACAAAGACTTTAAAAACAATTGTAACAAAAAAATAATTGAAAAGTTACACCTAATTAAACTAAAGAGCTTCCTCACAGCAAAATATATTATTAACAGAGTAAACAGACAACCTACAGAATGGGAGAAACCATTTGCAAACTAGGCATTCAATAAAGGTCTACTATCTGGAATCTATAAGGAACTTAAAAAAAATAACATGCAAAACACAAAAACAACCCTGTTTTTTTAAATAGGCAAAGAGGTCAGGCACAGTGGCTCACACCTGTAATCCCTTCACTTTGGGAGGCCAAAGTGGGTGGATCACCTGAGGTCAGGAGTTCGAGACCAGCCTGGCCAACATGGCAAAACACTGTCTCTACTACAAAAAAAAAAAAAAAAAAATACAAAAATTAGCCAGGTGTGGTGGTGCATAACTGTAGTCCTAGCTACTTGGGAGGCTGAGGCAGAAGAATAGTTCAAACCCAGGAGGCGGAGGCTGCAATGAGCAGAGATCACACCACTGCACTCCAGCCTGGGCCACAAAGCAAGACTCCGTCAAAAAAAAAAAAAATGGGCAAAGAGCATGAACAGACACTTCTCAAAAGAAGACACATCCATGGCCAACAAGCATATGAAAAAATGTTCAAAATCTCTAATCATTAGAGAAATGCAAATTAAAACTACAATGAGATATTATCTCACACCAGTCAGAATGCCTATGGTTAGAAAGTAAAAAAAATAACAGATGTTGGAGAGGATGCAGAGAAAAAGGAACCCTTATCCACTGCTGTTGGGAGTGCAAATTAGTATAATCTCTATGGAAAACAGGATAGAGATTTCTCAAAGAACTGAAAATAGAACTACCATGTGATCCAGTAATGCCATTACAGGGTATATACCCAAAGAAAAATAAATCATTTTGTTGGACAGATATCTGCACTTGTGTGTTTATCACAGCACTATTCACAATAGCAAAAACATGGAATCAACCTAGATGCCCATCAGTGGTGGACTGAATAAACAAAATGGGGTTCAAATGCACAATGGGATGCTATGAAACCATAAAAAATGAATAAAATAATATTCTTTGCAGCAACATGGTTGGAGCTGGAAGCCATCATCCTAAGCAGAGTAACACAGAAACAGAAAGCCAAATACTGCAATTTCTCACTTACAAGTGGGAGCTAAACGTTGTATACACATGGACACAAAGAAGGGCAAAATAGACACCTGGGACTACTTGAGGGTGGAGGATGGGAGGAAGGTGAGTGTTGAAAAACTACCTATCGGGTACTGTGCTCATTACCCGCGTGATGAAATAATCTCTACACCAAACCCCTGAGACATGCAATTTACCCATGTAATGAACCTGCACATATACCCCTTAAACCTAAATAAAAGTTGGAAAGAAAAAAATTTAAGCAAATTTAAAAATTTTTTGTAAAAAATTTGGAATCATAATAATAACATGTTGCAGTGATTAAGTGATTTACTTGAGGAAAAATACTTAGAATAGTGTCTAGCACATGATATGTAATATCTCATGGAATATCTTTTTTAATTTCCAATCTTTTAAATCTGGTTTGGAATATACTATGTAACTTAAATATGAATATATGTGTAGACCATTTTCAAAGGATCTATTCTATTCCATTATTATATTGCATTTCAGAATCACAAATAAACGAATAAAACTGAAAATAAAATGATATCTCTAGGCAAAAGAGAAGA
This sequence comes from Homo sapiens, assembly GCF_000001405.40. Classification (NCBI taxonomy): domain Eukaryota; kingdom Metazoa; phylum Chordata; class Mammalia; order Primates; family Hominidae; genus Homo; species Homo sapiens. The sequence goes on along the minus strand of NC_000013.11, from coordinate 86,131,020 downwards.
ATCAAGGCAGCCAAATCCTGAAGGAACAAGAGATCAGGGCCAATGTTTAGGCATTTGTGATTCCCAATGCAAAAACATAGCCAAACATAGGATTTCTGTTGTATTCATTAAAAGATGACAAACGCCATTATTACTCAGTACATTATGAGAATATAATTTATGCAAATAGTTAACATTGTCTTTAAAAGTTTTTTTAGGTAAATATACCTAAATGGACACATACCTCTATTTAACTGATGTCTTAATCATCTCAATAGGTATAACTATAAATATAATTTTATATTTTGACAACCTGAGTGTATTAGTTTGTTTTCACGCTACTAATAAAGATATACCCAAGACTGCATAATTTATAAAGGAAAGAGAATGAATTGACTCATAGTTCCACATGACTGGGGAGCCCTCACAATCATGGCGGAAAGCAAAGGAGGAGCAAAATTACATCTTAGATGGTGGCAGGCAAAAGGGAGCATGCGCAGGGAAGCTTTATAAAAGCATCAGATCTAGTGAGACTTACTCACTACCACATAAACAGCAGGGGAAAAACCCAACCCCATGATTCAATTACTGACAACTGGGTCCCTCCCAGGACACATGGGAATTATGGGAGCTACAATTCAAGATGATATTTGGGTGGGAGCACAGCCAACCCATGTCACTGAGCAAGGTGATAAAATTATTAATAATTAATTTTAGCTGAAGAGCAATGACATATACTGAATATATGTAGCAAATAGCTTAGCAAGCACAAAAAGCATAACATTTTTATAAACCATGAATAGATTTTGAGATAACTAAAATTGTTATTCCATATATGCAAAAAATGTTATTGCCTTGTAACAAAATCTACATTTTTAATGTTTTTTCAAAAGAGTTATTTTCTTGTTCCTTTTTACAGAGATGACAAACTGTTGTTGGAAAGCAACTCACTGATACATGTGAGCTTGTCATTTTTATAAGTCTGTATCTATCAAATTACTGGCCGCAAAAATGTAAAATTTTGGCTATATATAAAAGAAAAGATGGGTTATTCACAACATTCTCCTCAAAATCATCCTGGGCAATCTTCTCTAATTTGTATTGTTGATTTGCAGATCTTAAATTCGTATGTTAATGCATATACTGTGTCCCATAAAGGTACACAATGCAATCACTACTTTTCAAATAGAAATAGTTATATTCATAGGTAGATAAAATCTTTATATCTGCAAGACCAAATGTAAAAGATTCTGCCTCAATTTTTGATTTGAAGTAAAAGTAACATAGTTTTTTTGTTGTTTGGTCTTTGTTTTTTTCAAAGTGAATTACTGAAATTGGGTAAAGTAATTATCTAAATATGTGTTCCTAGAATGATGCATTATTATGAAAATGTCCTGCCACTTAGACTGCTTTACCTTTGTAAGCTGTAGAGTGGATCAGTTACCTCCAACATCAATATCACTGCCCTATCCTGTTTTCAAGATCTTATTTTGCACATAATTTTATTTAAAAAGTAATTCTGCTTTGTGAATAGAATAATAGCAAGGCTTATTAAAATATTCACTAATCCAAAAGATACATTTCACAATGCTATGAGAGCCATATGTATTTTTTAAATAAAACTGACATACTACATATAACATGTGTATAAGTGGGATCTTCTATTCAGAAATCAATTTAGAGAAAAAATGTGGAGTATATGCTTAAGAATAGAAAACTACATTGCTTTTCTCATTATTTATGCAAAAATATCAAACAATTAATGCAGTTTCCTTAATTATGAACAGCAATAAAAATTATAGTCACCACATTGAATTCAGAAAAATGCTATTCAACAAAAAATAGTATTCTTTCTCAATTTTGGTTTTTACTTCTTATATAATTATTTGGCAGTTTTATCTATATCTAGTTAAATATACTATTAATAAGTGTCTGCAGACCTGTAAGCAAATAACTAAGGCAGCTAACATTACTTACGGACAACAAAAAATTGGATATTATATTTATAATTTCTATAGAAATGAAAAAATATTCAGCAAGTGATAGTTTGTTTCTCATCCCTGCTTTTGACTAAATATATATTCATTTTTGATATATTCTCATTAAATACACATAAATATATTTTATAAAATAATAAGCATTTTTAAAGTATTTGTTATGTCTAGTATGAGTTTAACTTTGAAAAATAAATGTATCTACTCTTTATTTCTAATTATTAAGCAAGCCCCACAAAAGGAAAATAAAAAGAAAAAAAGCCTGATGAGTATTTCAGAAAGGCATACATAATGTTTATCAATGAGAAAAACTTGGATAATTAAATAATTACTTTAATTCACATTATGTATTTAATCTTAAAATTATTTATAAAAATAATGAATTTTACTTGATACCTAGATTAATTTTAAACATATTAATGAGTTGCAAGGATAGAGAGGACCTGAATATTAGCATACATTTTAAGAATATAGGGCCAGGTGGGGTGGCTCACGCCTGTAATCCCAGCACTTGCCTGAGGTCAGGATTTTCGGGCCAGCCTAGGCCAGCAGGGTGAAACCCCGTGTCTACAAAAAATACAAAAAAATAAAAATAAAAATAGCTGCGCATGGTAGCGGGCGCCTGTAATCCCAGCTACTTGGGAGTCTGAGGCAGGAGAATCGCTTGAAACTCGAAGGCGGAGGTTGCAGTGAGGCGAGATCAGGCCACTGCACTCCAACCTGGGCAAAAGAGCGAAAGTCTGTCTCAAAAAAAAGAATATAGAACAAGCATGAGAAGATGAAGAGACTATTGTATAACTCCATCAAAATGTTGGATTTAAATGGATGAATCATCATAAATTATAAATTATTTTGGTTCTTAAATCTGAAATTTAGAAGGCATTTAGTAAGAGACTTGTCTCATATTGTGTCCAACGATTATGTCTGATTATCAGAATACTGACTGTTGCATAATGCTATTGGTATAGTATTTGAAAGAACAAGAGAAATAAGGTAACATTAATTATAATACAGAATTGCATCATAAAAATAGAATTACAGGGAATTTTAATTTTCTCATATATATCCATATATTTCAAAATTTCTAAATAATTGGATTTTTTTAATGTCTAATGAGCTGGATTGTCAAATTAGACTTACATGGATCAGAGAATTTAGCAATATTAACCTTTCCTGACAGTTATTTAGGAGTACAAAAAACTGTAAGCCACAGGTGAGACAGAGAAATAGCGCAAATTATGCTCCCCAAATCTATTCTTGTTTTAGGATGCACCATGAACTAGATTAAGATTCGCTTTTCCAAGTTGGAATAAAAAGTCACATTTTTGCTGTTAAATATCTCAATTTTTTCTTAGATTATTTTATTGCTGCCATAAAATTCCCCAATAATTCTTGCCCCTTCAATTACCAGATTCTATGTTTGTTTAGCAGATGTAATTCTAGGCAAAGGTAATCTTAGGCACACTCCGCTGAAAACATTTACCCTATTGATTAGGAACTTCCTTTAGGAATTCTGAAAGGAATTGTATCAACTGTTTGTATCAAGATTTATTAAGCTACCTTCTTTTTATTCAAGGCGAGGTCTCACCGTAAAGGGGGGGAGTCTAGATGGCTGTTCAACCATTTATTTCCCATTGTATAATACTTCTGCAAAAGTTGAGACACTGTAAATGTATATCAGTTAGAGTTCTGCAGAGAAGCACAAGCAATCCAATCAGTTGAAAAGCCTCAGGGAATTTTACCTCAAGAATGTATAATTATTCCTGAGTTCCCGGACTGCTGGACTCCCTTAAGAATTTCCAGCTTGTTAGTCCCATGATTCCATGGGCTCATTCTTTAAAATAAATTTATTCTACAGAAACTTCATTTGTTTTTTTTGCTTGTAAGACCTTACCTAATTGGATGAAGCTCATCTACATTATTGAAGATAATCTTAAAGTCAACTGCTTATAGAAGTTAACCACCTTGACAAAATACCTTGACGACAAAACCCTAGATTGGTGTAGTGATTGAATAAGTGTAGGTACTATAGCCTAGTTTAATTGACACATAATGCCATAACAAGGTGTGGGCCTTCTGTTAATGCAAATGACTCAGGCCTTTGGGACTTACTCAGACCTTGATTCTAAATATATCAATTCTACTTAATAATGTTCTATTCACAAACTTGATTTTATGATTGATTGCTAAGAATCTATTTTGTTCACTAAATTCAAATTCAACCAATTGCCATCTGTCAACTTATGGCCAAGTTTTAATTTTCACTAGTTTCCAAGAGGTGTTTCTCAGGAAATATTGCCTGTTATAGTGTGGCTTTGTTCTATGTGGCACACTGTATTTTCCGAAGATGGCCACACTAATATTTCCCAGCTCACATCATGTCTACAGTGTGACCATGACATTTCTCACAAAGGATAATTTGGAGGAAAAGTTTATTCTATAAGTATCAAAATATTGTTTTTGAAATCAATGACAGATCTTGATCTTAAGATATTCTGGCATTTTAATAACACATTATATTATTGCAGGTTTTCTCTTTATGCATTTTTTAGATTTATATTTTGTTATTAAAGTACTTAATCTAAAAATGGCAGCATATTTCTCTGATTTAATAAACTGTATTCTAAATGTGACCACCTCTGAGCTTTACTGTACTGGCTACTGTCTCGTAGCCCAACAACAATGGTTTCATAGCTTCACGTCACTATAAAAACCTCTGAGCTCTTGGACCCTGACACAGGCACCTTATGAAATTGCAGATGCCTCAGGAAAACAATTTCCAAAATGTTTTTTTCTCAAATTTTTAAAAATTCTCTGCAGTAAATTTCATGAAACTTTTGTTTGTTTTCCATTTTGTTTGATTCTTTTATTGCTTTACATCAAACTGCTAAATCATAGGCATAAACAAAATTATTTTCTGTCTTTAATGTTGGATATTATTATCTCAAAGTTACTCATCTCTGATTCTCCATCTATATATACAATACAATAGAAACACTATAAAAATTAATAATGCATGTATATGCTGTCAGAGGCATTGTTACACAGCATTTTAATTGCCCTCAAACCCATTTTGGCCAATATCTTTTTACATGAAGAATTCAGTTTTTCAAGAAGTGAATCCTAAATACTAGTCTAGTACGTAACACCTGGCTGCCAACTGGTGTCTTCTGTTTAATATTTCTCCAAATAAATTCCTTCCCCAAGTATACATAAATCGATGTAAAACAAGCCACTAAATTATGCTAGATTTATTTTCACTTGGATAAGTGGTTTAGAGGATAGTGATTAGAAATCTAACGAATCTTTTTTAAAACTTTTTTTAAACAATTTATTTAAAAAATGAAAATTTGCACAATTTGCTTTAGAATCTGAAACATGGGGAAAAAGATGTATGGTCAATAGGAAAACATAGATGAACTTGTTTCCTTTGCATTTTCATTCAATTTTTCAATCAAATGAAGAAAGGCAAAAATGAAAAAAGATAACCTTATGATAATTTTCGTATAAAAATCCCTATGAGAATATTAATTATAATTAAATTGAATTTGTAAATTGCTTCCAGATAGAATTAATATCACTTTGGTATTGTATTTAATGATGGCAATTTTGCTATAGTATTTATCCATGAACATGCAGTATGTTTATGTTAACTTCAATGTTCAAAAACTGTAACAACTTTCATTAAAGTATTTCATTATTTTATCCCCAGATAGCCTTTTAAGTTTATTTTCTATTAGGTGTATTTAAGCTGTACAACATGATTTTTAATAATGAACCTTGTGAAAAAAAATTCTATCTAGTTTCATTGCAACTCCAAAGGCAAAGCTTTATAAATAAGAACTTGATACTTGTTAGTTCAGAACACTCGAGGGTTGGGGAGATTATCTGTGTTTGTTGCTTAAAGTGCCTCACTTTCTAGGCTCTTCACTTCTTGCCAGCTTCAATCATATCTGTCTCTGGTATCAGATAACATTGCATATCCACTTTCTAGCTTCTAAAATTCTCATGACACCTCTTCAGCAATCTTCCACTTACTTGGGTTCTTGATCTTTTATTTCTATTGTTTATATTTCTATTGTTTCTATTGTTTATAGCAGTAAGTTTCTATGATAGAAGAGATAAATGTCTATATCTAGTCTTCCATAGCAGACTGTTAGTTGGCTTTGGACTTTCACTCAACTTTTAAAAACCAAGAAATGCAATAAAAACCATCTGTTTCCAGTTTTACAGGCAATACTTCTATCATGGAGCATTTGACAACTAGCCCCTTATGGAAAAATATGAATCAAAAGTAGTATAGATAAGAAGAAAAGTTAAATAAAAACAAAACAGTTATATATAAACCATGATTATATTGCTGGTGAGCAAAAAATTTATCTCAACAAAAACTAGTTTTGAAAAATGGGATTTTGTTACTGCAGAATTTGAATACACTTTTTCTAATCCATATCAAAGAAGAAAATAATATAAAAACATTCAACCCTGGAATTAAGTATTGCTCTCTAAAAGTAGAGTTTAGAACTATTTTAAATATTTAATATAGAAACTGGATAAAATATATTAAAATTATAAAATCTATGCTTTTAATAATTTTTATTATGGTGGTGGAATATATTTTAAGAACCAGATAGACTATCTGGTGAAGCAATGTTTACATACATTTTGGGAATTCTTTCTGTTTATTTATCTACTCTGATAATCAAGAAAATTAATATGTAAACTTTTAAATACATATATTTTGTTCTCATTAATGATAACTTTTCTGCCATCTGCCAATTTCCCTCTCTTTCTCTCCATTTATCTATATGAGTGTCTTGAATCCTACTTGTCAAATGATTTTACTGATGACTTCTAGGGGGCTATTTTGAATTAATTTGCTACTTCTTTTTTTTAAAACAGTTTACTTATAGCCTGATCCTTTTATAATCCTGTACTTCTTATTAAAAAATAAATTCATTGATTTAAAACAAAAATAAATATCTTGTTCTTAATGGTCACTGAATTTGGGAATAAAAAGTAATATAAATAAACATTTAATTTTGTAAATTTATAATACTTTTACTATAAATTTATTTTAACATATTTATAAATGTGTTAAATGTACAATTTAGTACATTTATAGGTGTGTGAAATGTACAATTTAGTACATTTATAATTTATAAGGATATAAATAATTACATGAAATCACATTAATCATTAAATGTAGAACATTTCTCAAGGGGTCATGGATATCAACAAAATTGATAATAATAAAGAAACAGATATATCTTTAACTTCATGCTAACTCCTGAATTCCTGTTAGGGCTGGAATTAAGATAAATCCAAGAAGGTAGCTACACACCCTGAATTAATCCCCAGTTATGTGGACATGACTTGTGTTTGACTCTTTTGCAGTCAACTGGTTACTCAGAAGATCTGCCCCATCAAGACCAGGTTCAATAATGAACACAGAATGGATTTGCCATTACTCTTCTTGATCTCACCACACTCTTTCTCTCCTTTCACAGTTTTAGACTCTATTATTTGAAAACATGACTGTCATCTCATATACAACTAAATCCTAACACAGTCAGACCTTGTCACCCCACTTCACTCTGATCAATGGCCAAGATGCCAAGAACAGTATGGTACAGCAAGGTATTTTCTAACAACAAAGCAGAGGCATATGTGTATGACCAATGGCCTACGTTTTTGTCAAATGAATGTTTTCTAAACAAAAAGAAATTCTGCCGAATCGAATAATTAAACTATTAAAATCTGGTACCTTGTCTTTAAAAGTTTTTGCCTTTACCAACATGATAAAAATATTAGGTTCTGAAGTTTTTCATCATGGAAAATCATTACTTAATATTACTATTTATAAGATGTTAATTACTAATCGAGGACATGCAAGAATTTGTAGAACTTCCTGTTTATATGTAATTGTATTCATATTTATGAAAGCTTAAGCGGAAATTAGCTTTCATAACATAGCTGGTCTTTTAAAATACATTTAGTGTTCTCCTTTTAGAGAAGATGTATTTGCACATTAAAACAAAACTATATGAGTCTTTAGTAGTTACTAAAGAATTCAATCAATTATCAGATACTTTGACTACCTTGAAGTCTCCTATTTCAGACCCATTGGTCTAGCATTATATAAATATCTTGGCTACCCAAAGGAAAGAGTATGATTTATTACATACACTAATTAATTCTAATTGGTATGTTGAACAGTGAACAAATATGTGGAACTTTCCAATTGTTCATTTTTAAAGTCTCTGGTATGTACACCTAATTTATTCTAGCTCTCATTACAAGTTTCGAAAAAACAGAGATGACTTTTTTTTAAAAAAGTTGCTTTACTTTATTTTAAAAAAGGAACAGTTATTTAAGATATCACAGAGAAGAAATCTGAGAGAAAGGACATAATGATGGAGTCCCAGAAAGTTGGAGAAGGAAGCCTCGGAAAGGAGGCTATGGTGGGAACAAATTTTTGAGAGCTTTTACCAACAAGTGGAAAGGGGTTAAAATATGGAAATTGTGAATCTGAGCAGGAGCGCCTACCACGTTCTCTGTAAAATAAGAACATCAAGGAGAAAATTGGGCATAGGTGTCAGAACAGTGCCTAGTAGACTCCAAAGATGCTTGAGAGAGAGGGCTTAAGGCTTTGAAGACATTTCATGCAAGTAAAATAAGAGAGAGAGACACAGAGACAGAGAGAGAGAGAAATATGCAAAAAAGGCCACACTAATTTAAAAAAGGAGAAATTGAAATATTTTTTAAAAAATAAAAAGAAAAACAATTTTTCGGTGGACAGAGATCCAATGTGACTGCTGTATATGTCAAAAAATATGAGATAGGTGTCACAGCCTCCTGTATTAATTCTCCTTGTCCTACAGGTTTTTTCTACATCCTTTTTTCTCCTCTTTCCTGAATTTCTGGCATGTGGTCAATATTATTTGGAAATAATTGCTACTACTACTGAATTTTATTTAGAGAAAGTGACAACACACATCTGTGACTATGACAGTTAACCCAGTAACAATGAAAGTAAAAGAGCATATTAACCAATGCCATCACCAACCTAAGAATCAAGAGACGACTGGCTTAGGTTATATTGAGAATATTTGAAAATATTAATGTATTATAACTACAAATATTGAGGCCCCGAGGAAATTATATTTTATTTTAATGGTAATTTAGTCACCTTTTAGTATATAGTATAAACACATGTATTTTACAAATGCATTATCTTGGTAATCAATTCTTTAAGCTTTCATTTCACTGTAACTTCTCTGATTCACCAAATTATGTTACATTCCATTAGAACCATGCATTACCAGGTAGAGACAATGAGTAATTTGCCTATAATGATTTATATCAGAGGCTAAGTGCTATACTTTTAATGTGCTTTGGTAAAAATAAAGCACTGGGAATGCTTTATTCTTAATTCTGTTTCTGTGGTCTTAAGTGTTCAACATATTAATAGATAAAATGTACTTCAAATATCTCCTGAAAATGTAGAATGGAAATGAATCATTAGCATTGTCTTATCCAATGGGCTTCAGAAGCACTTGCTAAGTAACTTCATTGAACAATGGAATTTAGGACTTTGTAATAAAAATTTTAAAAAGATTGTAGTATTTATGTGAGCAAAGGAAACTAACAGCTACTGGCAATAAGTGCCTTGTATTCCATTTATTGACATATGACCTTAGAGTGGAAGATTCTCGTAAGTCTGCAATCCCCCGGCACAGTATAGATGTGATTTATAATAAAACGATGTTCATTAAGAGCCTCTTTTGGACTATATCTTAGCTGTACAGAACCCACATATCTTCATTAGGACAGTGTGTAAGGAATTTATTTGTTTCTAACTCTATGGTAAGGTGATTAATGTAAAACCAACTGCAGCAGTTCATACCTGTTTCTAGGACTCAAACTATTTTACCTTCTCTTAAATTTTATCTATTACATGTTGAAATGCTAAAGAAGAGAAAGGAGGAATGTGACTGGAACAGCTCTTATTGTCATATTTCCTGCTAATATTCCAAGTAGAATAAAAGAATCCCAGCAACTATTTACCCAAATTCTTTCAATCACTCAGCATCATATAATTAATAAAATATTAAGTTAGTCTGACTTAATCCTGATGAAAAGGTAGTCAGCCTATTTATTAATCCTGCAGGTCTGATAGGAAAGAGATGATACCATCAAAAGGTGTATTTAAAGATAATTTAATAAACTGAATATTTACAGACATCATTTCATAATTTAGTGAAACTAAAATGGAAAGTAAAGCTCTTAGGAAATAGCAGTAGCTTTAAGTTATTACCATAACTAGATTTGCAGGAAAGACCCACTTTATCAAAGCTTATCAAGTGGTAGAGCCAAGAAAGAGGAGCCAATCAAATGTAACTCTAGCCATAGAGGAAGGTAGCCAATGACAATACAATGGCTCATGATGAACAGAATAGATAAAAAATACTAAATTGGGAAGACTGCTGGTTCTAAGGTGGCATTATGGAAGCAAGTTCACTTCTCTCCGTAATGTAAACCAAAAATAAAATTCTAATCCCCCTAACCCACTGAATAGTCTTTCTCTAGACTGAGGGCATTCCAAAGTAAATCTGAAAAACTAGTTCAGACCACAGTGGGAAGATGGGGTTGAACATGCCTCATTATACCCACATCCCTTTAAAATTCAGGCATAATTGATCAGCATTAACATTAAAACAGAGATCTTAAGACTGACAAAACAGACTCTGTAGCAGTAAGATGACGAATTTCAACCTGACTCTAGTTTACCATCACATGACAGATGGCAGGTCCTGAAAGAGATTAGTTTCTCTCGAAATATATTCCCTTGACATATTTTTAAATGGCCCTGCAAAACTGTCTCTTGTGGGGAAAATCATTCTGTAGAGAGTGCTCTCCCTTTTCCAGGTATTTGCCTGATCCAGGAGAGATTTAACTAAGAGGCTGGCACCTTTTAAAGACTAGTAAGAGACACTTACCATCTATTCTACAAGATCAGAATCTTGGTCTCCACAATCCCTTATTTCAACCCAGATACCCAGATACTCCTATCTCTTGATTCCAGATAATACTTAATTTAAATTTTTTCAATAAATTGCCTATCAAAAATCTTTAAATCTACCTGTGACCTCTAAGCCCCCACTTTGAGTTGTCCCACCTTTCTGGACCAAATCAATGCATACATTTCATGTATTCCTTGATGTCTTATGTCTCCCTAACATGTATAAAAACAAGCTTTAACTCAACCAACTTGGACACATGTTCTCAGAAACTCTTGATACTGTGCCTTTGACCTTGGTCACTCATATTTGGCTCAGAATAAATCCCTTCAAATGTTTAACAGAGTTTGACTCTTTTTCATCAACAATAATTGATTCCCTATGCTTACATTTAGGGCCTCAGAGAAGACTTAGAACCTCCTGGTACTGGCCCCCAGCCAAGGAGTCACTGGAACCTGGAGGTAAGGTGCCGTCATAGGCCCACTGAAAACCCTTTGACTTCCAGCTTCTTTATGCGTGGAACTGGTAAGTTCTCTTGAGCCCTGCACCTCCTGTTTGCCTGATGGTCCTTGGTTTATTCTGAGCTGGTTTTTGGTTTGTTTTGTTTTGGTTTGGTTTGGTTTGGTTTGGTTTGGTTTGGTTTGTGTGTGTTGTTTTGTTTTATCTCCTAAGAAGTAGTTTAGGAGCCTAAGTTTGGTTTGAAGGTGCATTCTAAAAGGCTTCTCCTTTACCTTTATCTCCCAAAATTAATCTCTATTGGCTTGTCTGCACATTTGCATGGGGAACTGTCATTTTCATAGATAAATGAGAGAGTGAGCTTCTCAGCTTCAAAAAGAAGGGCATTTTGTTTCTTCCAGAAGGAAAGCCCTTGGGTGATGGAGGCCCAACTGGGAGTGTCTGGGGAGTTGACCCCACGTGATATGCAGTGGCTCTACAGGCAACTCCCCAACAAATTAAAAGGGCTCATCCAGGAAACACATATAAGTACTGATTACTCATGGTTTTGAGCTCTCTTGGAGGTAATAGACCCCTGGAGAGAGAAACTGGAACCAGGAGTCATAACTACTTTACATAAAACTTCTTTAAACATCCCAACTTCATAATTCTATCAACCCTTGCATTTTTGTGTTCTGGTCTGAAAAATTTTTCTTCTCTACCCCCAGACCATTTGACCATTTTACCCTCTGGTGAGAAAGTATTTGGGCTCTCAGAGAAGGGTTGAGCCTAGGGACTCAGACCCTTTTGTCAATCAATATCCTAACTTGCCTCAGTGTTGCCTCAACCAATGTCAGCTTTTTCATTGTAATCTTTGCCTTTTGATTTTTCTTAAATTTCTTAGATGTGTTCAATCTAGGGTAAAAGGAGAAAACTCCGGGGCCCGTCCTTGTTGGTGAACGAGCAGGGGCTCCCTTTGGTCCACTCAGTCTTCAATAGTGTTATAACCACATTGATTTTCATTTTATTTATTTAACTTTTAATAGCCATCTGAAGATTTCTGCCCTTCTGGGATGAGTCCTCTGACTCTCTTTTACCTTTTAAGCCTATAAATGAAGTAAAGGTGTTTAGATAATCAAAATGAAGGAATACATTTTTATCAAATTTTATTACAGGTATTTCTTGTTTCTAAATTAAGGGGAATAAAAAATTTGTCTAGTAAGATTGTTAGTAGCAGCAAATCTTTACGGATCTGAAGCAACCTCAATTCTTGCCTCCTAAGACGAAAGAATTTGACCAATGGGTTTAAGACAGAATGAGAGACCCAGGCAAGTTTTAGAGCAGGAGTGAAAGTTTATTAAATAGTATTAGAGTAGCGATGAAAGGAAGTAAAATATACTTGGAAGAGGGTCAAGTGGGTGACTTGAGAGATTCATGTACATGATGTAATCTTTGACTTGGGGTTTTATATGTTGGCATGCTCCTGGGGCATTGTGTCACTTCTCCCCTGATTTGTCCCTTGCAGTGGGCTGTCTGCATGCACAACACTTGGGAGGGGCTGCATGCGCAATGTGTTTACTGAAATTGTGCACATGCTCATTTGAGGGATTTTTTTCCCTCATCAGTAGAGTGTTTCTAGAGGATGGTCATATACCAGTTAAGCTCTAATATTTTGCCTCTTAGTGTGCATGCTCAAGCCCACTTGCCCAACTCCTGAGATCATATCAGAAAGCTGCTGATCACCAGTTTAAGATGTTTTTATTTATTGGGAGACGGCTTTTCCCTGGCACTGGCTGCAACTAATTATTCTTTTAGAGAGACAGTTAACAACCCCTTGACCATCACCTGATGGTCACCTGACATTCCTGGTGGGGGTTGAGAGAGCCCTTTCCTGCCCAGCTCTTGTTTGCCTGACTACCTACTGTAACAAGATGATCTGAGATGTAAGAAAAAATAATGAGAAAAATATTTAAAAATAAAAACGTCACTGTCTACTTAAAGCAGTTATGATGATAAATTTTAGCATATGCAGGTATAAAGAAAATAATTATAACATTGAACCATGTTAGCATATAAATTTTGAGTGTAAAAATGAGCACTAAAATATTACAACATCTTTGTGTTGTTTAGAAACAACATTAAGATAATATTTTCATTTATATTTTGTAATATTAAATAAGCATGAAGGCACTTCAAAAGTAAAAATTTAAAGAAATAATGATAAATTATATAAATTACAAACATATAGAATGTAAATAGTGAATATGAAATGTCAAGACCAAAGCCTCTGTTATCAAAGTCAATTAAATGAAAAAAGAAAGTATAGTGAAGAATAAAAAAACAAAAAAGCCTATGGGATCTTCTAGTTTCAGCTGTGACATATGAAGTGCTAAGAAATGGTCAACTTCTATCATTTTAATGAGAAAATGCTCAAAAAACTGAACATCAATGATTTTATTTGGGCTTATCAGAAAAATAAGGTGAACAGCCACCTCCTAATCTAGTGAGACAGATAAATCCAGAGAGTCACAGTTGAGATCTGCTTACCTGAAACAGAAATCACTGGCGCTATAAACAGGTACAAACATTTAAATAACAATTTTGATGAATCCTTGGAGGCTACTCAGATAAGAGTGAGAAACTTATGACAGCCACAGTCTTAATGTCTTTTACTTCCAGGAACCCAGTAAAGTTCTCATGATGAAATGCTAAGTGACATCTCATCTTGGCTCGGCCAGAGGTAAAAGAAATAACCAAAAAGAAAGTGATTACACAAAAGACCAAAAAAAAAAAAAAAAATGCTGGCAAAGACGTGGAGAAAAGGGGCCCCTTATACCTTGTTGGTGGGAATGTAGATTAATATAGCCATTGTGGAAAACACTGTGGAGGCTTCTCAAAAACTCAAAATAGAACTACCATATGATTCAGCAATCCCACTCTTGAGTATTTATGCAAAGGAAAATAAATCAGTATGTCAAAGGGATACCTGTACCCCAATGTTTATGGCAACACTATTCACAATAGCTAAGATATAGAATCACCCCAAATGTCCATCCACAGATAAACTGATTAAAAGAATGTAGTATATATATGCAATAAAAAAGAATGAAATAGTGTCATTAATGACAACATGGATGAGCCTGGAGGACATTATGATATGTGAAATAAGTCAGGCACAGAACACTAAGTACTGGATGCTGTCACTCCTGTGTGAGAGGTAAGCAAAAAAAGTTTCAGCTCGTGACAGTGGAGAATAGAATTGTGGGTATTAGGGGCTGGGAAGGGGAAGAAAAGGGGAATATAGGGAGAAATTGAATAATGGATACAAAATTACAGCTAGATAAGAGGAATGAATTCTGATGTCCTGCATCACTATAGAGTAAATATGTTTAACTATTTATTGCATATTTTCAGCAAGGTAGAAGAAAGAATTTTCAATGTTCACAACACAAACATATATAAATGAAGTGATGAGTATGCTAATTATCCTTATTTTATGATGACACAGTGTATGTGCATATAGTAATATCACTCTGTATTCTATAAATAATGTACAATTATTATGTGTCAACTAAAAATTAAAAAAAGTAAAAGAAGACAAGGTTATGGGAACATCTTTATCTATAGAGTAACAAAGATGTGACTTAGAGTATGCATCATGCAAGGCAGGAAAGAGTGGAGCAAAATGTTGTATTGGATTTAAAACAAAACCAAAAACAGAACCCATAAACCTAGGATTCTGTATTCAGCAAATATTATTCAAATGTAAGGAAAGATACCCATACAAACAAACTGAGAAAATTATCCCTTAACAAACCATTCTAGCAAGAAATGTTAAAAGTTCATCAGAAGGAAGTAAAATGATGTCGATCATAAACTGGGATGTCGATAAAGAAAGTAAGAAACTTGAAAAAGGGAGACAAAGCCAAATAAAATATTTCATTTGTCTTATTTTTAAAATCTAAAAGATAGCATTTTAAATGATATCAGCACTGGAATATTGAGGATATTAAATAAATGATAGCAATGTCATACGAGATAAAAGGGAGGAATAGGGAATAATCTATTCTAAGGAGCCTGCACTACACATGAAGTAGTATAGTGTTATTTGAATATTTACTTGAAAAGTATAACATGTCTATTACAAATTCTAGGGAAACCCCTAAAAAAGTATAAACTAAAAGAAAGGAAGTAAACTTGCTATGCTAGGAGGATGCATAACAGATAATCATATAAAATACTCTATTGAAACTAGAAGGAAGAAAAAAGAGGAGACATGTTAATATGGGTACAAGAATTCAAAACTTAGATGACATCATTGAATTTTTAAAAGATATATATATATATCTTTTCATATATATATTTGGGCTTATCAGAAAAATGAGGTAAACAGTACATATATACACACACATATATATGTATATATACATATATACACACACATATATATGTATATATACATATATACACACATATATATGTATATATACATATATACACACATATATGTGTATATATACATATATACACACATATATGTGTGTATATATACATATATACACACATATGTGTGTATATACATATATACATATATATACATACGTATATGTACATATATACGTATATGTATGTATACATGTATTTGTGTGTGTGTGTGTATATATATATACATATTTTTTGAGACACACAGAATGGGGAAAGGATTTTAAAAAAATAATGAAAGATGGAAACATACTTACTACACATATAAAAATAAAAAGAAATTTTAATTAGGAAAAAATCTTTAAGCCATTAGACATTATTTGGGATAATACATTTTACCACACAATAAGAAATAATTTAACTATTTAAGCATTTATAGTGGCTTTAAATATATTCACCTAATAAGTCTTAACCTATAAAGTTATAAAATTGTATATGGGGTTTGACGTCTTAATACTCAACAGAATAGAATCTTAACAACCTATTAATTTCAACACACCTCTTGTAATTAAATGAGAAAACACATTGTCCAGTAGGCAAACATAAATATAAATAAAAATATTTTAATCAGCTGGGTGTGGTGGCTCATACCTGTAATCCTAGCGCTTTGGGAGGCTGAGGTGGGAGGACTGCTTGAGCCCAGGAGTTCAAAACCACCCTGGGCAACATAGAGATAATCCATTTCTACAAAAATTTTTCACAAATTCGCTGGGCATGGTGGTGCATGCCTGTGGTCCTAGCTACTCTGGAGGCTGTGGTGAGAGAATTGCTTGAGCTTGGGAGATCAAGGCTACAGGGAGCCATGAATGTCCCACGGCACTCCAGCCTGGATGACAGAGTGACACTTTGTCTAAAAAAAAAAAAATAATCAGTTTAATGATTTTGACTTACACAAACACGAACAATGTGAAAATACACACTTAGAGGTTAGAAGTCATAAACTATGTAAACTCAAATGAAAGCCATATTTGAAAATTATCTTTAAAATTTGAATAAATTTGAGTAGTTAATTGGTTAAAAATAATATAAAAGACAGAATACAAAAACTTAATGATAATGAAACTATAACAATGAGACTGGATCAGGAAGTGTGCCACCTTAATACACATTGAACACTCTCCAAAATGTAAAAACAATAATAATGACCGTATCTTTATTTATACCCTTGGCATTTTGTTCATCATTGACTTTGGCATTAATTTTGATTTTTAACCATTTGCATCAGAATAGTATTTATTTTGGTTGCTATGACTTTTGGTACACTTTTAATTTTTGCACCTAAGGCAAGGCTTTTGGTCACCTTATTGTAGGAGAGTTGGATGAGAGATCACTGGAAAAGAAGCAATATGACAAAGTGTAGACAAAGATGAAATTTAGTAGGGACTTACTATATATATTCTAGATGATGTTTTTTCAGCATCTTAGGTAGAAACTGACCCTTTATAATGTCATCTGCTTATTCCAAACTTCTTGGGGAAAAAATATCCATCTCCTTATTCCTATTATCTCTTCCTGGGACTCACAGATCAGGTGGATTTTCATTCAGAGTAAAGACTGTATTTTTTTTAATTGTAAAACATGTGTTCAAGATTGTGCTCTCTGCAGTTTTTCAGTGGTGTTGGTGGTTGGGAGGACAGTGTAAGATCCATTCTACCTGAGTTCAAGATTGGCCTTTGCAGTTTTGTAGTTCTCAGAAAACTAGGCACCCTATCTAAAGATCATGTAGGGCTGCAATGGGAGAAATAGAGATTGAACTCATTGGTGTTAAGTATGTGTGCATTTAATAAGAATTTGGAAGTATTCAAGATATATTAGAGACAGTGAGATTAGAGTCTTTTAAAGTCCAGTAGGTATGTGGGATCCCTATTGGCCTGCTGGCAATTGTATAAAAAGATAGTTGATTATGTCTAGAAAAAGAGGATCAAAGTATAATCAGGTAAAGCCAAAGGTGAGACTATAGCCAAAACTAGTTGAGTTCCTCATAGTTTGGTGAGTTTGCACTGAAGAATGATATTAGCCTGTTTTATTATTCCGATAATTGCAGGTGATAAGGGCAGTGTAGCTTTTACAAGAGTATAAATCCCATTATATGTTCTGAATAACCTTACCAATGAAGTAAGTTCCTTTATTGCTAAAGAGAAACGATGAGATCCTTCAAATAGAGAAAAGTATTTTAATAGAAGCTTAAGTTAAGCTAAAGTGATAGGAGTCTATTTATGAAGATGAGCTTCCAACCATCTGAAAACATGCACATTAAGGTTAGAACTGTCAAAAATTTCCATAAGAGTTAAACAGGCAAGAAATACTTTATTGAAAACCTTTACCATATTAAAGAGATATGAAACTCATCTCCATTGAAACAAATCACGAGAGTTTTAAGCACTGTGTGAGGCGGTGAAAAAGTGGTGGAGATATTGAGGGAGAGAGGTTAGTCAACGTGATTGGGCAATATGTGTTTGCTAATTGGTGCTTATAAAAGTTAGGCTGCTACCCTCTACAGAAACTGGGAGACAGGAGTGCTGTCTTTCTTGATCATCACATTTCCAAGGTGTGTATCCCACTTCCTTGTGACATGCATTTCTGAGTTGCAAAAATGCCAAGGGACTGGGGGAAAATAATATATCAAAGGAGGCAGAGAAATAATTTACACTTGCAAGTTTTTGTAAGTAAATGCTCTTAAAAGAAAGGGATGTCAGTGGCCAATAGTCAGGAGAAAGCCTGTTTACAGTTTAGAAAAGCTAAGGAGAATATGAAGACCATCTTGGTCAGAACATTTTTATACTGCCTTATACTTAGAAAATGACTGAAATATATTTGCAAATGGAGAAAGGGACCAGAAGATCTGGTACTTTTCTGTGCCCTACCTTTATATTTTTACCAGGATTTGTTTCTGGCAGATGGGACAAGTTGAGATGAACTACTTAACATGAGGGCTGAAATGTGCAGTAGACCTTTGCAATTTTGCCAGAATTTATAATCATCTGGAAGCCATAGACTATATTTTGGCAAGAAATCAAGAATCCTAGCAGCTGTTTGGATATCTTAAAAGACCATCTTACCTATGTAACAAATCTGCACATTCTGCAGCTGTATCCCAGAACTTAAAGTATAATTTAAAAAGGCCATCTTAATAGATAAAGTATCAGCCTTTTTTCCAATAACTTTCAGCCTCAAATGACAGCATTTGTATGCCTTAACCTTCTTAGAAGTGGCTGGGTGTATCTGATTATATGAGTATCATGTTCAAAGATGACATTCCAGGCAAGGCTCTGCTTGTATAATAAATTATTTTAATTATAAACTACTAAAAAGGAGGATAGGTTCTTACTGAACTTATGCAAACAACCATGTTGCCATGGAAATAAGCATACTCAACAAGAGGTTTTGAATTACAGAAATGGGTAAGGCAGAAAAAGATGAATGTTTTATTTCTATTTATAAAAGCACAGTCTAATACAATGATGAGTTATGAATACTTTAAGGGAAAAGAGAAAGACGTCTCTTACCTCCAGAAAACAAAAATATTATCACATCAATAATATTCTGAAAAAAGCTAAAGTTATTCCCTCATCAGCTCACTCATTTCTTTGTAATTAATATTTTTTTCAATTCAATCTTGGGTTATCAATTTTACAGTCCCATCTGTTCCTCACGTAAAGTCTTGGAAACCCTGACTCGGTGTACTAGTATAGCTTCGAAATTATTTAAGTGATGACACTAGAGGCTGTACCCAAAATTGCTTGACATACTCCTTTTACACAAGGCTCTATGATAGTTCTTTGTTAAAAATAAAAGTCTGGCCCCTAGCTGATTTACAAGCACATTCAGGTGAGCATTAATTTGAAAAAATATCTAGAGGAGGATAACAAAAGACTTAAAATGCCTGTGATGAAATTATGCCTGATGATTTTAAAAGTGAAAGATCTGATGAAAACTCAGTACAAGAATAATGCAACTGACAAGAAAATTTGGTTATTTCTGTGGCATTTTTAAAAAGACAATACAAAAAAGTTTTAGACAAAAAATATAGTATATTATATATTTTGTATATATAATGATTGAGCATGTATCTAAAGAAGAGTAGATAATGTATCTAATTTATTAAAAGGAAGAAACATAAGCCTTACAGAGAAAAAAATTCTAAGATATAAAATATAATAATCCTGAATTATAATATACTATGGATGTGCCTTAGAATATACCAAGAATCTAGTAATATTTTCAAGCAAGGAGATTTTTTAAACCTAGTTTTCTGAAGTAGATCTCAAAATATGCATACTAAGATGGCAGTGTAGGAGAAATCAGCCTTTATTTCTGTCTTAGTCCACTTGATATTGCTATAACAGAATACCTGGGGCTAGAAAATTTATAAAGAAAAAAACATATTTTGCTCTCAATTCTGGTGGCTGAAAACTGTAAGAGCATGGCACCAGCATCTGCTAGACTTCTGGTAGGAGCCACATGCTGTGTCACACATGGCTGAGAAGTAGAAAGGTGAGTGGCATGTGCAACAAGGCAAACATGAGGAGGAATCTCACTTTGTCTCAATTTACTCTCCCAGTAACTAATCCAGTCCCATGACTGGCATTAATCTATTAATGAGGGATCTACCCCCATAACTCAAACATATTACATTAGGTGCCACTTCCCAACACCACCACAATGGCAGTCATATTTCAACATGATTTTTGGAGGAAACAAATAGCAATTCCCCCAAAAAACAATCAAACAAAAAACAAATACAGGCAGCATTCACTAACCAGAATAGCCCTTAGAGGGCTCAAGAACTCCTTAAAGCATTTGGAATAACACAGCGGAGCAGGAAAATAGAGAATATACAAATAGAAAGAATCGCCAGAGAGATCAGCATACATGAGACACAAAGAGATGCCTAGGAACCGAGAAAAAAAAAATGTAGGTAATAGGTATCAAACACATGATGAGAACCAGTGTGGTGTCCACTGGCCTGCACTGCAAAGGACATGGGCGTCTCTTCCACTGAAGTGACGAACAGCCATTCCTGGTGTAAATCTACAGGGAGGACAATGCAGCTGCACGTCAACCATCCCCAAGAATTGGTCAGATTTACTTTGGGAAAGGAGCTACCACCTTTCCCAACCCCGTGAATGCACCAACCCTGGAGCTGTTGCCGCTCCGTGAGCCACAGCCCAGATACAGGCTCCGCAGAAGCACTGGGCCTGCCCACATTTCAGACACCATAGCCATTACCATAGGAAGCTAGGTTGCACTTTAGACCCCAGAACCAAGCCCTCACTATGTGTGCCAAAGTTCTGAGCACTAGTTCAGCCACCGAAGGGAGCTAGACGCAGTCTCCGGAACCTCTAGCTCCACGCAGCTCTGTGTCCCTGTTCTCAGCTCCCCCAGCTGCTTCACTAGCATCCATGCCTTTTGTATTATTACCAATGTTGCAGCAGGGATGCGTGCACCAGTAACATTACCGTCCATAATCCCAGAGCCATAATCTTTCCAGTGTGCCTATGTATTAAGCCTCAGCTTTGCACTCATTAAGCACTCATTTCACAAGGGACAATCATCAGACACTGGTACCACTGCTACTGCAAGTGAGCCTACAAGTCATACCCAGTGACAAGATGGATCCTGTTAGCCTCAACTTTCCTGGTGGGAGAGAGAGATCAGGAGGACCTTAGCAGTCATAAACTGAGAAAACTCCAGCAACCCTCACCACCATTGCAGAAATCCACAGTTCATTAGCCACTAAGGAGCTCTGTAATCTTCATCAATGCTGACCTCAGTTGACAAAGCATCACAGAGACTATGCAGCTGGCATCATTATGGTTTCAGAACAGATCCACCCAACTCAGAAAGCACACATCTCACTTTCTCATAGGAGAAGGTCTTTCTAAAGTGAAACTTGCTGGTAAAGTCTGCAAAAAGTGACTGCTCCACAAAATGCACGAACATCAGTGCAAAGCAACAATAAACATAAAAAGCCAAGGAGGTAATATTATCAAAAGAATACACTAATCACACAAAGAAATGGAAATAGAGAAACTGCCTGATAATTCAAAATAATTGTTTCTAGAAAGCTCAGCAAAATAAGAAAAAAATCTGAGAAAAAATTCAATGATATCAGGAATATAATCAGTGACTCAAATTGGAAGTCTCACAGAGAGATTGACATTATTTTTTAAGTCAAAAATAAATTATGGGCTGAAATATACAATGAGTAAAATAAAAATATAATAAATATCATCAACAGCAGAATTAATAAAAAAGAAGAGGGTATCTGTAAACTCTATGACAGGTTATTTGAAAACATACAGCCAGATTAAAAAAAAAAAGAATATAAAGGTTGAAGAAAGCGTATGAGATTTATAGAACAGCATCAAAAGAGCAAATATTCAAATTACAGGTGTTCAAGAAGAATAGAGAAAGAAGCAGAAAACTTAAAGAAATAGTAGCAGAAAACATGCCAAATTTTGAGAAAGCTGTAAATATCCAAGGACAGAAACATCAAACTGCAATCTTCATCAACACTGACCTCAGCTGACAAAGCATCGCAGAGACTAAACAGCTGGCATCATTATGGTTTCAGAACAGATCCACCCGACTCAGCAAGCACACCTCTCACTTCCTCATAGGAGAAGGTCTTTCTACAGTGAAGCTCGCTGGTAAAGTCTGCAAAAAGATTTAATCTAAACAAAAAATACTCTCAGACATATTATAATCAAACTCTCAGAAATCAAAGATAAATAAAGAGAATTCTAAAAGCAGCAAGAAAAAAAGAAAGCAAATCACATACAAGGGAGTTCTGATAAAGTTATAGAAGATTTCTTAAGAGAGACATTATAAGCCAGGAGAGAGTGGGATGATATATTCAGAATGCAGACGGGAAAAAAATAAAATTGCCAGCCAAAACCACTATACCTGGGAAAGCCATCCTTTGGAGATAAAAGAGATATAAAGATATTTTCACACAAACCAATTCTCAGGGAATTCATCACCACCAGATATGCTTCATAAGTAATGCTAAGGAGAGTTTATTAAACTGACAGAAAAAGATGCTAATTAAACTAAAAGCATAAAACTCATGACAAAAATGTAAGCAGTCAAATATATAATGTATAACATTCTAATAATGTAATAGTGTTCATAAAATATATATTATAAAGGTGAAAAGAAAAAATATTGAAAATAATAGCTACAACAATTTTAAAGGATATAGAATATAAAAAAATGTAAACGTGACATCCAAAACATAATATCTTGGCAAGGATGGAGTAAATGAGTAGAGTTAGTTTATGCTATAAAAGTTAAATTATTATCAGCTTAAAATAGCCTGTTATAATGACAAGATTTTTTTTTAGGTCTCATGGTAACAACAAAGCCGAAATTTATAGGAGATAGACAATAAATATTAAAAAAATAGGAATCAAAACACACCACTAGAAAAAACATATCCCTTAACCAGGAATGAAGACAGAAAGAGAGCAAAAAAGAAACAAAGTATCTATAAAACAACCAGAAAACAAGTAAAAAAAATGGCAGTCATAAATCCTTATATATTATAATTTAATTTCAGTAAATGTATTAAAGTTTCCAATCTATAGACATAAAATGGCTGAAAAAAGATATGAATATATATACACACACACAAACTCCTATATGCTACCTGTGAGACTCACTTCACACATAGACTGAAAGTGAAGTGATGGAAAAAGATATCCCTAAGCAAATGGAAATCAAAAAAGAGCAGGAGTGACTATACTTCTATCAAATAGAATAAACTTTAAGTCAAGAACTGTAAGAAGAGACAAAGAAGACCATTATACAATGGTAAAAGAGTCAAATCAACAAACATTTGTAAATATATACATTAGAGAGGGAGAGACAGAGGTAGGTAGGTAGATAGATAGATAGATAGATAGATAAAGTGATGGATATTACTCAAAAAATTAAAAACAGAAATGCCATATTGTCCAGGTTCTCACTATTGGGTATATATTCAAAGGATATGAAATCAGTATCTCAAAGAGATATCTGCACACCAAAGTTTATTTCAGCATTATCACCAGCATTCAACGTGTGGAATCAACCTAAATATTTATCAAGGGATGAATGGATAATGTAAATGTTATATATATACACATAATAGAATTATATTTAGCCTCTAAAATGAAGGAAATCCTTTCCTTTGCCACAACATGGATGAATCTGGAAGACATTATGTTAAGCAAGCCAGGCACAGAAAGACATCATACATGTACTCACTTAGATGTGAATTGTGAAAAAGTAAAATTCATGGAAAAAGATAGTAAAATAGTGGTTACCAGAGGCTAGGGGATGAAGGTGGGGTGGAGGATATGCTGGACAGAAGACACAAAATGTTAGTTCAGCAGGAGGAATAAGTTCAAGAGATCTATTGTATATCATGGTGACTACAGTTAATAAAAATATATTGTATTCTTGAAAATTGCTTGGAGAGATTTTAAGTGCTTTACCACACACAAACGCACACACACAATATTTATGTGAGTTTATGCATATGTCAAATAGCTTAATTTAACCATTTCACAATGTATACATATATCCAAACATCATGTTGTACACAAAAATGTATGTATACTTGTCAATTATAATTTTTATAAAAATTTGTATATTAAGAAATGTTTAAAAATTAAGTTTTTAAATTGTTTAAAAATTGAATCCACAATTGAAAATATCTGTCCTGGTCCACCTACAAAGGGAAGCCCATCAGACTAATAGCAGATGTCTCAGCAGAAACCCCACAAGCCAGAAGAAAGTGGGGACCAATATTCAACAATCTTAAAGAAAAGAATTTTCACCCCAGAATTTTATATTCGGCCAAACTAAGCTTCATAAGCGAAGGAGAAATAAAATCTTTTACAGACAAGCAAATGCTGAGGGATTTTGTTACCACCTGGCCTGCCTGCAAGAGCTCCTGAAAGAAGGACTAAATATGGAAAGGAAAAACCAGTACCAGCCACTGGAAAAACATACCAAAATATAAAGAGCAATGACATTATGAAGAAACTGCATCAACTAGTGTGCAAAATAACAAGCTAGCATCATGATGACAGGATCAATTTCACACATAACAATATTTACCTTAAATGTAAATGGGCTAAATGCCCCAATTAAAAGACATAGACTGGCAAATTGGATAGTCAAGACCCATCGGTGATCTCTATTCAAGAGACCAGTCTCATGTGGAGAGACATATATAGGCTCAAAATAAAGGGATTGAGGAAAATTTATCAAACACACAGAAAACAGAAAAAAGCAGGGGTTGCAATTCCAGTCTCTGATAAAACAGACTTTAAAACAACCAAGATCAAAAAAGACAAAGAAGGGCATTACATAATGGTAAAGGGAACAATTCACCAACAAGAGCTAACTGTTCTAAATATAAATGCATCCAGTACAGGAGCACCCACATTCATAAAATGAGTTCTTAGAGAACTACAAAGAGACTGAGACTCCCACATAATAACAGTGGGAGACTTTAACACTCCACTGTCAGTATTAGACAGATCAATGAGACAGAAAATTAACAAGGATATTCAGGACTCAAACTTAGGTCTGGATCAAGTGGACCTAGTAGACATCTACAGAACTCTCTACTTCAAATCAGCAGAATATGCCTTCTTCTCAGTGCCATGTGGCACTTATTCTAAAATCTACCACATAATTGGAAGTAAAACACTCCTCGGCAAGTGCAAAAGAAAGAAATCATAACAAACAGACTGTCAGACCATAGTGCAATCAAATTAGAACTCAGGGTTAAGAAACTCAATCAAAACCACACAATTACATGGAAATTGAACAACTTGCTACTGAATGCCTCCTGGATAAACAATGAAATTAAGGCAGAAATCAAGAAGTTATTTGAAACCAAAGAGAACAAAGAGACAATGAACCAGAATCTCTGGGACACAGCTAAAGCAGTGTTAAGAGGGAAATTTATAGCACTAAATGCCCACAGGAGAAAGTGGGAAAGATCTAAAATAGACAGCCTAACATCACAATTAAAAGAGCTACAGAGCAAGAGCAAACTAATCCAAAAGCTAGAAGAAGACAGGAAATAACTAAGATCAGACAAGAATTAAAGGAGACAGAGACACAAAAAACCCTCCAAAAATTCAACAAATCCAGGAGTTGTTTTTTTTTTTTTTTTTGAAAAAATTAAAAGAGATAGACTGCTAGCTAGACTAATAATGAAGCAGGGAGAGAAGAATCAAATAGAGAAAAAGAAAAATGATAAAGGGAATATCACCACTGATCCTGCAATACAAAGTACATCAGAGAATATTATAAACACCTCTACACAAATAAACTAGAAAATCTAGAGGAAATTGATAAATTCCTGAATGCATACACCCTACGAAGACTAAACCAGGAAGAAGTCAAATCCCTGAATAGACCAATAAGAAGCTCTGAAATTGAGGCTGTAATTAGCCTACCAACCAAAAAAAGCCCAGTACCAGACAGAGTCACAGCCGAATTCTACCAGAAATACAAAGAGGAGCTGATACCATTTCTTCAGAAACTGTTCCAAACAATTGAAAAGGAGGGACTACTCCCTAACTCATTTTATGAAGCCAGCATCATCCTGATATGAAAACTGGGAAGTGACTCAACAAAAAAGAAAACTTTAGGCCAATATGCCTGATGAACATCAATACAAAAACTCTCAATAAAATACTGGCAAAGGAAATCCAGCAGTACGTAAAAAAACTTATCCAACATGATCAAATCGGCTTCATCCCTGGGATGCAAGGCTGGTTCAACATATGCAAATCAATAAACATAATCCATCACAAAAACAGAACCAAAGACAAAAAACACATGATTATCTCAATAGATACAGAAAAGGCCTTTGATAAAATTCAACATCCCTTCATGTTAAAAAAAAAAATCTCAATAAACTAGGTATTGACGGAACATACCTCAAAATATTGAGCTATTTTTGACAAAGCCATAGCCAATATCACATTGAATGAGCAAATCTAGAAGCATTCCCTTTGATAACTAGGACAAGACAAGGATGCCCTCTCTCACCACTCCTATTCAACATAGTATTAAAATTTCTTTCCAGGGCAATCAGGTAAGATAAATAATGGGTATTCAAGTAGGAAGTCAAGTTGTCTCTGTTTGCAGATGACATGATTTTATATTTAGAAAACACAATCATCTCACCCAAAAACTTCCTGAACAAATAAGAAACTTCAGCAAATTATCAGGATGTAAAATAAATGTGCAAAAATCACAAGCATTCCTTTACACCAACAAGTGGCAGGCAGAGAGCCAAATAATGAATAAATTCCCATTCACAATCGCTACAAAGAGAATAAAATACCTAGTAATACAGATAACAAGAGATGTGAAAGACCTCTTCAAGGAGAACTACAAACCACTGTTAAAGGAAATAAGAGAGGACACAAAACAAATGAAAAAACATTCCATTTTCATGGATAGGAAGAAACGGTATTGTGAAAATGGCTCTACTGCCCAGTGTAATTTATAGATTCAATGCTATTTCCATCAAACTACTATTGACATTTTTCACAGAATTAGAAAAAAATATTTTAAATTTCATATGGAATCAAAGAAGCCAATCCTAAGCAAAAAAGAACAAAGCTGGAGATATCATGCTACCTGACTTCAAACTATACTACAAGGCCACAGTAACCAAAACAGCATGGTACTTGTACCAAAACAGACATAGAGACCAATTGGAGCAGAACAGAGACCTCAGAAATAACACCACACATCTACAACCATCTGATCTTCGACAAACCTGACAAAAACAAGGAATGGGGAAAGGATCACCTATTCAGTAAATCGTGCTGAGAAAACTGGCTAGCCATATGCAGAAAACTGAAACTGGACCACTTACTTACACCTTATACAAAAATTAACTCAAGATGGATTAAAGACTTAAATGTAAAACCCAAAACTCTAGAAACCCTAGAAGAAAACCTGGGCAATACCCTTCAGGGCATAGGCATGGGCAAAGATTTCATGACAAAAATGCCAAAAGCAATTGCAACAAAAGTGAAAATTGACAAATGGGATCTAATTAAACTAAAGAGTGTCTGCACAGCAAAAGAAACTCTCATCATAGTGAACAGGTAGCCTAAAGAATGGAAAAAAAAAATCGCAATGTACCCATCTGACAAAGGTCTAATATCCAGAATTTACAAGGAACTTAAACATATCTACAAGAAAAAAACAACCCCATCAAAAAGTGGGCAAAGGATATGAACAGACATTTCTCAAAAGAAGACATTTATGTGGCCAAAAAACATGAAAAAAAGCTCAACATCACTGATCATCAGAGAAATGCAAATCAAAACCACAATATGATACCATCTCACACCAGTCAAAATGGGGATTATTAAAAAGTCAGGAAACAATAGATGCTGGTGAGGCCATGGAGAAATAGAAACACTTTTACATGGTTGGTGGGAATGTAAATTCATTCCCATTCCCATTGAACTCAACCATTTTGGAAGACAGTGTGGCAAATCCTCAAGGATCTAGAACAAGAAATACCATTTGACCCAACAATCCCATTACTGGGTAAATACCCAAAGGAATATAAATCATTCTACTATAAAGATATGTGCACACGTATGTTTATTGCAGCACTAGTTACAATAACAAAGACATGGAACCAATCCAAATGCACATCAATGATAGATGGGATAAAGAAAATGTGATACATATACACCATGGAATACTATGCAACCATAAAAATAAATGAAATCATGTCCTTTGCAGGAATATGGATGAAGCTGGAAGCCATCATCCTCGGCAAACTAACACAGGAAGAGAAAACCAAACACCGCATGTCCTCACTCATAAGTGGGAGTTAAACATTGAGAACACATGGACACAGAGAGGGGAACAGCACACACCAAGGCCTGTTCGAGGGTCAGGGGTTTGGGGAGGGAACTTAGAGGATGGGTCAATAAGTGCAGCAAACCACCATGGCACACATATACCTATGTAACAAACCTGCATGTTCTGCACATGTATCCCATTGTTTTTTAGAAGAAATAAAGAAAAAAAAAAGGAGGCACACAGAAGACTAAATGTATAGGTAATATCTTATTTCTTTTTCGAATTTTATTTTAATTGACAATATTTGTATATAGTTTTGAGGTGCAATGTGATGTTTTGATATACGTTTACAATGTGGAATGACTAAATCAGGCTAATTAACAATTCCATCACCTCACATACTTATCCTTTTTTGGTGGCGAAAACACTTAAAATCTACTCTTTAAGCAGTTTTGAAATAAACAATGCATGATTACTACGTAAAAAAGAGAAAATATCTGGCCTAGAATATACTTTATTAAAATTAAATAATAAAGCTGTGATTAAGTTAACATTTTTTAAATAACTGGATTCATAATTGGTAACACTATGCTATTATTGTTTAAGATAAAGCAGCATCAGATCTCTGATATGTAAAACATATAATTGACAATAAGGACATTGACATATCTTTAGGAACTTTTCATATAGCATAAAATTAAGAAATACTTATATGAGTAACATTTTACTCATGCGCATTTAACCCAGGAAAGACTGAATAACATATCTGAATTGAGGATGCTTATCAACCTACTTAACAATAGTAACACTAGAGACCTAATTATTTCTAGCAACTCTTTTTAAAAGGTTAAAAAAAATTGTGTATGTGTGATTATCTAGGAGCCCTCTGGAAAATCTTTAAAACAGTTTTTGGTTTTAAAGACATTACTTAGAATGCAGTTTGAAATGGTAAAATACTAAAATTTGTCAAAAGATCTGAAACTTGTTAAATAAGACCCAGCTTATTAAGAAAAAATACTTGACTATTAAACTGAAACAAAGTACAGTACAAGTAAATACTATAAGAAGTGACATAATAAAAAAGAAACCTACTTTTTTAGAAGCGATAAGTCTTTGCTCTCTTAATCAAGAACATATTAAAGTCAATATAAAACATAGGAAATTATACTGATAAGACGTAGAATCTTTGCCTTTTATTCAGATTACTCAGAAGATAGTGAAAAATCTTTTCAAACTCTTATTCACAGAAGAACAACAATCCAAGAAGCATTTTAAAAATTTTAACAGAACAAAAATCAAATTCCAATTTTGTACTAGGATATACTTGATGCTAATGTTCTGTTCTGAAAATCTTATAAATAAATTCACTAAATCTTAGCTAGCTTTGACCAATAAAAATAAAATTTTCTTTCCAAGAGTCTCCAAACACTTCAGTTCCTATCTTCAACTATGAAATCTTGTTTAAGCGTCTATATCCACTCAGGCTTTGACCTACACATTTCTCTGATTATGGAACAACCAGTCATTTTACATTACAGCAATACTGCTGTCTTTTTTCTTAACAAAAATGCACTATGTATATTTTGCATGGTAACATTTCTCTCTGCTTCTAATCTTCCTATTCACATACATATATTGGCTGTGATGTTTAGCCACTATAGTTTCGCCTTCACAGAGAAAACTAAAAAATGGATAATTGTGAACTGTCAAACACCAGCATTTTGCAGCAGGCTAACAGAGGTTATGAATATACATCTCTGGAAGTTTTATCGACATACATGTCGATTTTTTACAACTCCTCTAAATGGCAAAAATGAACAAGGGCATGAAAAAACTCAAATATATGTGCTCTATAAAAATAAGAGATGAAAAGTCCATAACATTTTTAATATCACAAAGTTTAGAAATAGTAAACTTGCATGCAAGTATAGGTTGCATTTTTACAAATGAATTTATACTTTTATGAAATAATATTGAAATCAACCACTTTAAATTCCTGTGAAATTTAGTAGAAGCAAGTTTCCAAGTGTAGTTTGCATGTAAAATGTTTTAATGCTTGTGATATTATATATAGGATATATACACATACACATATACACGTGTATACACACACATGCACACACACCACAGGTTAAATAGTGTTGGGGCACCTGAAGCCTAAGAAGCAGGCCTTAGAAAGTAGAATCTCTCTCTGACCTTCTACTACTCTTCTTTCATCGGCTCCTTCTTCTCCCAAAGGCATGACCCTCCCTCCCCTTTCTGTCTTAAGGCTGGCCATAAATAAATCCTTTGACCTATTTTGCATAAGCGTGGGTCCTAAGACCCCCATTTTCAGAAGGGGTCCTAACCTGAGGGAAGAAATGCTGCACATAGAGGCCAAAAAGAATCTGAATAAACAGGCCTTGCTGACTTCCACCCTCAGTCTGTTAGTATTATACAGTACTCTTGTTGTCCAATCACATTTCCACACAGTTGTTCACGATTAGATAGATGATGCCTATGTAAGGAATCTCTGTAAAATTCCTGAAAGAATGGGGCATGGAGAGCTTCAGGACAGCTGAACTCGTGAAGGCTTATGGGAAGGTGAACAAGAATTCATCCATGTTCTGGGAAAGTGGTACACCTCAACTCCATGGGAACAAAAGCTTCTGTGCTTGGGAAACACCTAGAACTCCCCTTATGTATCTCTTCATCTGGCTGTTTATTTTTATTTATTAAAATACCCTTTTTAATGAATCAGTAAATGTAAGTGAGTGTTTTTCTGATTTTTGTAAGCCATTCTAGCAAATTAACTGAGCCTAGAGAAAGGGTCGTGAGAACTCCAACTTGAAACAGGTCTGTCAGAAGTCCCAGAGGTTAAGTTAGGACTTGTGACTGATGTCTAAAGTGGGGTCCTTGTGGGACTGAGTCCTCAACCTGTGGGGTCTGATGCCATCACCAGGTTCACAGCTTCAGCACTGAATTAGATTGGAGGACATCTAGTTGGTGTTCACTGCATAATTCATTGCTTGCTTGTGGGTGGGGAGAAATCCTCATGCATTTGGTCACAGAAGTCTTCTATGTTGATTGTTGTGATGTGAGAACAGAGAAAAAGTTTGAGTTTTTCCTACACTCAGTGCTTCCCGTTTCTCTTTTTTTTCTTCTTAAGCAGTGATGTTTATGCTAAAAGTTAAATTTTTGAAAATGACTTCATATGAAGGGAAAAAAATCAACAGTCTAAATATCAACTGCTTCACATTACCTTGTCAACAGGATTTACGACTGTTTCTGTATTTAACATAATCACATAAGAACCCTGCAAAATATGTGAAAATATTATTTAAAATAATTTTGTAACTTTTCCAAAACTATGCTTATGCCTTTTTTTTTTTCTTAAAGAGAATTTTTTTAATTTATGTTGTCACCAAGGTACCAATGACTCTCAAAGGAAATATTAGAATCAATTTTTTTCAAGTTTACAGCAGAGATGTTCACAAGCCATAGCTAATAGTCTGTCTTGGGAATAATTACTGGTAATGGGTATCCAAGGGAAATTATTGCCTGCTGCTGTGAATTAGGAGTTGCCACAGGTGGTGTTCATCAATTGGAATGGGTTGCAGAGAGTAGCAGTCTGAGCCAAGACTGCTTAAGCTTGATTTGTGAAACCATTGTTTCTGGATGCTTCAAACCTAAATTGACTACTTATCATAATGACCTACAATTCTTTTCAAGCAAAACAAAATGGTGTGTATATAAAGCAAAATACAGATTTAGCATCATGCTTTTAATGTGTGACAGTAGAATGCCTTCACGATATGGGAGATACCAACTTTAACAAAGATTTCTAAGTAAACATGAAATATTATAAATTAAGTCTAATGGTGGGTATTACAAGTCACTTTGGTTTATCTTTGAATGGATTTAAAATAATTATTAGTAAATTGCATTCATTAGTTACTCCCTGTTATACATATCTAAACATTTCAGTGCGTATCTAAATAGCATTAGTAATTTAACTTTATTATGGCTGTTATTTATGATTTTAGTTAGGAAAAATTTAAAATATATAATCAGTTAATTGCCTAAGTGTGGTCTGTGGCTCAAAATATAGAAGTACTTGAAAACTATTTTGTTGGTTCTTCTTTACAGCATTAAAACCCCTGAATTGCATCTTCATAATTTAGTTGACTAGAAAGATACAACATAGAAAATGAGATTTTTGAATAATGTCAAGTTATTTGGAGATAATTATTTCAATGTTACTAAGTTGATTTTTTAAAATATAATTCTATAATTATAAAAATTTTTGAGAGAGATTATTTTAGACAAATATTTAGGTCAGTCTCCTACTTTAAATTAAACAAAATTATAAATGTCAACCACATTATCTCTCTGCTGATTATCCCTAGTTTTGCATTAGATATAAATTTGAATTAGAGGATAAAAGTAAGTACACATATTCTAAAATATAAAACAAATAATTTGATGTACTGGCAGACAAACAAAAAACTGGAAGATCCAATTGTGAAAAGGTGATTTTCATTTAGTTCTGCCATCATAACAAGCATGCTAAATAAATGCAAAAATAATTACAGTTCATTTGCAGATCTAATTTTGGAACGCTTACCAAAGATAAACCAAGCACATTGTGAAAAATAAAACTGTTTAAAAAATAAAATGTAAAATAAAAGATTATAAATGAGAATGTTATCAGAAAAAAATTCAGAGGTCTAAGAAAAATTCAAAATAAAAGGTAAAGAAATAATTAAAATTTCATAAGTACAGGTAGATTGTTTGTCATGCCATTTGCTTAGCTTCATTCATAATGAGTTATATACATGGCCCAGTTGCATGTTGAAAAAATGAAAATACAATTCTTGCCATTCAATTAATGTGCCTTGGATAAAGACATAACTTGAGATTTATCTGAGTAGTAAGAAATAAAATAGATATAATTTAAACAAAATGCACAAAGATTTTCTTATTAAAGAAAAGAAGCTGTCTTATTGAAACAATATTTTCTCATACAGTGGCTAATGTAGTTTCTTCAAAGTACTTAAAGTTATCTTACTGTTATTATATTGCTATTACAACTAGACTTAGTTAACATTAGTGAAGATCTTGAAATTAGGACATAGTAGAAACTTCCAAAAAGCTCTTTGAACATTGGAAGTGAAACTTAGAGCAACCACAGGGTCTAATGGTACTACTCCCATTGAATAATGGTAGTGCTCCCCATACAACAAATTATAAAAATATATTACTAAGATAATTTTAGATAGAAAAATTTAATTTATCAGTAAGTATCCAACCAGGAAATAAATTTCTCTGTGTACTCAAAAGAGAGGGACTTTAATGCAGATGATTGGTTATTGATGTAGTAGGTCAAGAAGCTGAACCAATGTATATAAAGCAACACCGACCCTAGTAGTGGAATGCTTCTTCCACTCTTGGAGGAACAAATTGAAGATACAGTATTGCAGAAACCCAGAAGCCAGGATAACTTGCAGAAGCTGGAATCGTGACAGGCCTTTGTCAGGAATTTACCCAGCTACAGCTTGACATGCAACCAAAGGCAAAGAGAGAGGGAGAAATCCATGGGCTCCTCCCTTCTTATATCCTTCAGTTTCCCTTGTTGGTCTCCCATTGACCAAATTCAGGCAGAAGTCAGCTGGGTTTACTATGGGAGAAAACTATTCATCTTGGGAAATAGTGCACAGCAGGAGAAGGACAGGTCTGTTTCTTAGGAACAAGACATAGGGCAAACAGAGATATCAAGAACAGATGATGTAGAAAAAGGGCGGAGAGAAATTTTAGACAGGGTAGTAAGGGTAAACCTTTCTGAAAAAGTGATCCTGAGATGGTTGTCTTAGGGGTATTCAAATTTTATTTAATCACTTATTGTTGGCTTTGTTCAAAGTTGTCTTCTCAGACACTGTGCTATAAATGGCTAACTTTTTGTCTGTTTCCTTTTTTCAGTTCTTAACTAGACATAGAATCAATGGGCCAATTTCTTATGGATCTTCATATATATCTTATAAAAGCATTTCCAAGAAAGAATTATCAATGTGTACTTCCAACAATACTGTAAGAATGTGTCTAATTTCTAAATTTTCCAAGACACTGATATTTTAATCACTGATTTAATGTGAGAGCCATAACCAACTCTAGGACTACAAATAAAAAACTTATCTTCATAAAGAACTGGAGAGAGGTAAAGTCAAATAAATATTGAAAAAAATGGAAGCTCTACCTAGTTCAAAATGCTGGAATGAGTTGGGATATATTTACCCAATTTGTAAGATAAGATTCTCTTTAAACAAAAATGTCAGAAGACAGGCCTACATAAAATGACATCACTAAGCTTTAGTTCTGAATTACTTCTAAAACTCACTATGACACTCTTCAGAAAAGACTATAAAAGAACTCCCTGTTGTTGAAGGACCATGCTACCCTAACTTTTCCACTATTTCCATATAATGGCGACTAATGGAGTATTATTAGTACTTTCCATTCAACCTGATAGTTGTGAGCTCTCCCGTTAGAGGTCTGTGAAGGATTTGGTGAGACATTCATTTCACATTTCTTTCCTTCAGCAGTGACAGCTCTTTCATTTGCTGGCTCCTGCAGATTTAACCAATAGCCATAGTTGACCTTTATCTCAATGTATAGCTCACTGTTCTTCCATAGTGAAATGTACTATGTTAGTAATCATTTTCTTTTAAAATCATTTTAGTTTGTCAAAAGGGCAGATTATAAAGAGCAGAAACAAACTCCCTTACGGATACTTATAGACCGTATAAACTGCCTTTCATACAATTCAACCTTTTACTTACAAAGGCCTTTTTTAAACTCCAAGTCTCATGCCAACTGCATCAAAGAGAGTATGAAACAAGGCTTCTGTCAGTCATTTTCCTGCAATGTTGAAGGAATTCCCCATTATGAGCTGAATGTTTGAAAATAAACATGCTAAAATAATGTCACTTTTGTAGATCCTCACAAAAATCCTCCTAATACTTTATAATTTATATTATTAGATATTATATATTCACACATTATTGAAGCCACAGGATATATTAAGAGGCAAATAATACGGTAGAAATCCAAGGACACTAATTTCTCTTAATTTTCTTTCTTCCTTTTTTTTTTTTTTTTTGAGACAGAGTCTCGCTCTGTCATCCAGGCTGGAATGCAAAGGTGCGATCTTGGCTCCCTGCAACCTCCGCCTCCCAGGTTCAAGCAATTCTCCTGCCTCAGTCTCCTGAGTAGCTGGGACTACAGGCATGTGCCACTATGCCCGGCTAATTTTTTTTTTTTTTTTTTTTTTTGTATTTTTAGTAGAGATGGGGTTTCACCATGTTAGCCAGGCTAGTCTTGATCCCCTGACATCATGATCCACCCGCCTTGGCCTCCCAAAGTGCTGAGATTACAGGCATTAGCCACCGCGCCCAGCCTCTAATTTTCTAATTTACTTATTTTCTAAATTTTAAATATTTTATGCAAGTTTTATAGCTTCATTTGCACTTCTGGGTCACCACATTGTACCTTTCCTACTCTTCTGCAAATTTGACATTTTCAACCTGCTTTTTCAGACATAAACCTTATTCTTGGAATCTCTGTAAAATGAAAGACAGTTACTAGAGGAAAACCTCACTATTATGAAATACAGTGAAAGGAACTAAAGTTCTCTTTGGTTTTCCAAAAGCTACTATATACAGTCCCTTTCAATCGATGAAGCACACCAAAAAAAATTAATTAGTTAAAGAATAAAAACAGAAAACACATTCCTCATACATTGTGTTTCTACTTATGTTCACACAGAACAACACCAGCTCTACTTGTTTTAATAATTTATTGTCAGATTAAAGAGAGTTTGAAGTATCACTAGCCTACAATTGAGGAATCTCTCTTGTAGATAGCCGGATCATGAGTGACATGGAATTTCCAAGTAATATGTACAAATCAAGTCATGAAGTTAGAGTGACTAAGGCAAGTGTGGGAAATAGAGTCATGGGACCTGTTTGGATAGAACTCAAAAGTATTATGAAGTAGGCAGAGCAGAAAGTGGTCTGTGTGAGTTTTAAAACTTGAGCTGAATGACTAACCTCAATTGCTTGGGTAAATTACACTCATTAAATAAAATTTGGTTCTAATTCTAATTGGGGATGACAAACAAATTAATTTTTATTCATTATGAGAATGTGCTGTGATTTGCAGTGATGCACATACTGTATTGTTAAGAGTCAATAAAGGCACCATATAAACACATCAGAATTATTTTACTTGAAATTTTGACTAAAGGTTTTGGGAATAATTTTTGAAATCAATATAGATGGCAACAGGAAATTGATTTACTATTAATTTATGAATTCAAACCATTTTAATGGCATCTACAATATTAATAACCTCGTCTGGAATGAAGTACAGTCATCCAAGGTAGAGTTTTTCAGAAAGAATCATTTAATAATAAGGCACTCACTCTACATTTAACTTCACAACCACATGCTAAAAAACAACAAAGACAGAGAGAAATACAATATAATTTAACAACTCCTATAGAGGAATTATATAGTGAAAGCATAGTTGGCAGAAATCTAACCCTGTTTTGATCAGGAATTCTCAGAGAACACTGGGACAGATACTTGGTAGTATCGACTCTCCTTATGTTACTTCAATAAAAGTCCACTACAACAATTGATTAGAAGTTACTTCTTGAGTTTTCTAACTAACCCCACTTGGATGTGGCACTACATTAATCCAGATTATATTGAATTTCATCTCTAGTCCATCATGCTTAATAATACATCAGTGTCATATTTTAAATATTTAGATGATAATAGACAAACTTGTTTATATGCAGAAGTTATAAATACATTGTCCTGATGAAAAAACACAGAAGTTCTATGTATGTGATAGTAATTATATTCTTTTATGGTAATTCATTCATTTATTTTTAAATTCATGTAGTTATAACTTAATTTGAAAATATTTATTAGGAAGACACAGTATTACAAGCACTCGTTATAAGCTGGATACAAAAGAAATTGTTCCTGGCTCCTTTGTAAATTATGTATAAAGGGTAAAATATGTTAATTAGATACAGATAGTTATATACAAAATGCACTTTTTGAAACAGGTATATAAAAATGTGCTTTCATGCAAGTGACAATAGAAAATTGTCTTTCAAAAACATCTATCCCTTCCTCTTACAATGTCTTGATTGAGGTAAATTATCCATGAGTATGCTACCTTGATTAATCTGTCCAATAGAGTTTGTGATCAAACCCATTCGATTTTACTCATGCAGCATTTAATTAAGGCAAACATCAACAGGACTTCAAGAAAAAGAATAAGGCCATCCTGTAATAATGATTTCAACAATACCTCTCACAACAAAGAGTTGCTAGATTTAACACATAAAAATACAGAATATCCAGCTAACTCGAATTTCAGATAAACGCTTTTTAAAATATAAGTATGTTCCTAATATTGCATGCAGCATGCCTGTAATAAAACATTCTTTATTGTTTATATGATATTTGAATATATGTAAACGTCCTGTGTTTTATCTGGTGAGCTTACCCCCAGAGTCTCTGAAACAAACTAACTAAACAAATCATATAACATCTGGGTCTATATTAGAAATCCATTTGGCTTTATTTTTAAGTTCTTGTATTGATCTTTCCTTTGGCCCAGGTATTAATCAAGGCACAGAAGGATATATTCACAATGCATAGACTTTTATTTTGACTACAAAGGGAAATTTTATCACTCATAACAACAAGAAACATATAATTGAGATTGACTTCGGTGGTTTCCATGGCCAAGGTGAGATGATTTATCACTTGAGCCAAAGAAAGGGACAGATTTCTTACCACATTTTTTTAACAGGAATGATTCCCATGGTAAGAGTAACTGCCTGCAGTGTACACATAAAAATGAGCCAGTTATCCCTACAGGAAGCATCATAGTATAACTAAGAGTAGCAACATTTTGGAGAGATCTCCAGTCATCAGAAGGTCTACTGACATGTTTCTTTAAACACATAGGTCTTTTATGACCACTCTAAAAAGAAGAAGCAAGTTTCCATGTTTTCAGGAGAGAGGAAGTTTAATGCCTAGTTTCCATATACGATATATAGACCTAAGAGTGTTAATGATAGCCCATGGAACCACATCCAGAGGGTTTGGCAGGTATGCTGGGTAGAGATCCAGGAACTAAACCCATCACTTTTGATTTGGGAACGACTTCTTAGGAAAGTTTAGAGAAATGGTGATCAAAACATAATCAAAACTATATGGCAGAAGAAGAAAAACTTAGTGGCCAATTAAATTTTAGGTGCATGAACCATATTGGAAGCATTAAGCATTAAACCAGAGTGTTTTCTTTAATGAGGAAAAGGTAATACTGAAAGGAAAATATCATGGATGCCCTTCTCTGCCTTGTACATTTCAAGGTCTGAAGTATTGCCTACTTCCCTGACAAGGTGGTTGTTCTCAGTCCACAATCACAAAATTGGCTTAACTTACTCAGATAGCTAGAGATTTACTTTTTTCCAATCACCCCCAACTTGCCTCTAGACCTTTGGTCTGGAGGGGTAAGTTGCAATCTTCGGGAAGGATATTTTTATGAGAGTTACATAGATGCATTATGACCATGACAAAGGAACTTGGTGAACAGCGTGCTAAAACAAGAGGTTATCTTCATGACCAAAGACCATGTCAATCCAACTACAGGATGAAAGAGCAAAACCAGAATTAATGCCCTGTGCTCCTTTTTGGCCATTTAGACACCAGGGAGATGTAGTAATCAGGCCATTTTAGAGTTGCTGTTAAGGAAAAGAATGATGCCTCATCCACTGGTTTGACCGTGATGAGATGCCAAATTTTGAAAATTCATTTAGATTACTTACCACCACTTTTATTTGATCATTACCTAGGGGTGGGCCTAGAGGAAATTACTTTATGCAAACAGCTGAATTAAATAAATGACATAGTTTCCTTCCTTAGATATGTGAACCAGAAAGAGATCAAGGAGTTCAAATCAGATATCTTTTTTAGCTGATCTTGGCTAACAAGGAGAGTGATAGTTTCCTCAAAAACCTTGACTATCAGCCCATTGTTGAGTGACTTTTGCAATGAAAGGCATACCATTATCAGACTGAAAATGACACCAATTGCTGAAAACATGACTGATTAGTTTCAAGAACAATAATGGTGTGGCTGGAGTTAGTTGATCAGACTAGAACAGCAACTCTGTAACCTAAAAACAAGTTTATGGTGTTAAGCCCCAAGAAGAGGCCAAAGTCCTGCTGAATTGTATCTGTCAAGAGTAGGCAGGAACCACAAGCCAGGTGATGTGGCCTCTGGAACTTCTGGAAAAAAGAAGTGGCCCACAGGAAAAGG
This sequence comes from Homo sapiens, assembly GCF_000001405.40. Lineage (NCBI taxonomy): Eukaryota > Metazoa > Chordata > Mammalia > Primates > Hominidae > Homo > Homo sapiens. The sequence goes on along the minus strand of NC_000013.11, from coordinate 86,090,871 downwards.
AGAAACTGACCCAATGGAATTTTAATAATTCTTACATTCAGCTTGCCACTCTGGGAAACTCTCCTACATTTTATGTTAAAACTAGATGAAAATTTAAGAAATGTTATGATGATAATGTAGTAGCAAGTGCCCAAGATTAGGTGGAGTCCAACAAGTAACTTTTAGCTGGAGTTACAATTATTTTTTAATTTTATTTTAGAGATGGGGTCTTGCTATGTTGTCCAGGTTATTCTCAAACTCCTTGCCTCAAGAGATCCTCCTACCTTGGCCTCCCATTGTGCCCTTATTACAGGCATAAGCCACTATGCACAGCCTTAGGAGTTATAACTTGTGAATATGGTGGTAAACACTTCATCAGAAACATGGAGTCCTTTATTTGTTCCTAGTCTATAACAGTGCATCTGTTTCTATGCCTTGTACAATGTTGGGCCCAAGCCGCAAAGTAGCCATCTGAGTATTCTAGGCTCAATCTGTAACTGAGTTCCAGACAGATTCATCAGAGAGTAGGCTCTTATTTTGGGAATGCATCTGAGTGTCACAGATGGTTAAATTAGAAGCCACAATTTGTTTATAAAATTCTGATCCCAAAGAGGAGTGACTTTAATCTGTCAGGCTGTCTGTAGTTTTCCCAAGTGGCAGAACAAATAGCTGAGAATGTATCTACGGTCCAAAAGTCAGTAAAAACATTACAAGTTTATGAAAGTGGTAATGCCCAGGGCTGTAAAAATGACCTTGGGTTTCGCCCACTGAGGAGAGTAATCATATACATTTATCAGTGTACAGACTGGCCCTAAGGTTGAATATCCACAGCAGCATCATGAACGCAATCAGATTGCAGTTTTGCCAAACTTACAGTGCATCAGACCCAGATTTTTAGAGAAACTTCTGAGAACCAAGGGCTCCTTTGATTTCATAGCTTTGCTTCATGTAGTGTAACATTGCCACCACAGGGATAATCATTTCTTCATGTAATGCTGTTGCTAAATGGGCTGCTCACTGTTCATCCAAATTAATTTCTGATGATTTCTGTCTACTCCAACTATCTGTGAAACAACAATGTAATCATTACTGATGTGATTGTTTCAGTTCTGGGAATCCCTTGACTCAACAGCCATAATGCACTATCTTCTGGCTGGGGTTTTGGGGTTTGTACCCATTGGTTTACTTGGGCCTGTCTCACAGAGCAGTGAATTTCTATGAGGACTCTATTTTGGGGCATTAGCTGCCCCATTATCAAAGTGGCATTCCTTAAATTTTCATCTGGTTTTAACATGAGAGGTAGTGGAATTTTTCACAGTGGTAGACTGACTGTAAGAATTATTTAGATTTCACTGGGCCAGCTTTTCATTCTACTGTGGATCACCTTTTTAAAATGGTAGTCTAGACTCATTGCTTTATCTATGGTTTGACACAAGGGTTTTTCTGTCACTGAAAACTGTCTTTGCAAAGGCCAGACCTCACTTCATAGGACCAAGTACACCTTAAAAACAAAAACAAAAACAAAACATCACTCCAATAACTTTCATTGTCATCTCCATAGATCCAAATTTGGAAGGTTGGACCATAGAAGACTTGGAGCCATAAAATGGCCCTGCTGTTTTCTGGTTTTGTTTTGTTTTGTTTTGCTTTTTTACACATATGATCTGCCCTTTCCCCAATATCTCAGGTCAACAATCAAAAGTAACAAGTTTTTGCCTGTGTTTTCCCTAGAGAGGAAATTCTCTTCCTTTCACATTCAATGTAGGTGGATGGTATGGTTTAGCTGAGTCTCCACCCAAATCTCATCTTGAATTGTAGTTGCCATAATCCCCACGTCATGGGAGGGATCCAGTGGGAGGTAATCAAATCATGGGGTTGGTTAGCTCCATGGTGTTCTTGTAATAGAGAGAGTTCTCATGAGATCTGATGGTTTTACAAGGGGTTTTTCCCTCCCTTTGTTCTGTGCTTCTCTTTGCTGCCGCCATGTGAAGAAGGATGTTTGCTTCTCCTTCCACCACGAATGTAAGTTTCCTGAGGCCTCCCCAGCTATGCTGAAGTGTCAGTAAATTAAACCTCTTTCCTTTATAAATTACCCAGTCTTGGGTATGTCTTTATTAGCAGTGTGAGAATGGACTAATGCTGTGCACATCTTTGTAACTGTTTCCTGAAAAGGGCTGGAATATTAGCAATAGAAGATGGGATGAGGATAGCTTGATGCTGACCAATCTGGAAGTCAGCATCAAGCTATCCTCATCCCATCTTCTATTTTTCTTAAATTCTGCTAATCCCCACCTCTCAAAGAATAGAAAGTAACAAACAGGGTACTTTTCAGGCCTCTGTCGTTGTCTGTTGTTTCTAACAATTGGCTTGGAACCACTTCTCAATTTATTCTCATTAACAGCATAAAATAGGAAGCATCATTTACTGCCCTGTGTACCATATGATTTGTTAACATCTCAACTATCTATTCCCATGGACTTCTCTGGGTTCCTATTAATTGCCTCAAAAGGCCCCCATCCTTCATCTTCCAGAAAGTCATGTCCTTTAATTATAGAATCATGTATCAAAACTATCAAGAAATATAAAAGATCTGAGATTTTTATCCTGTGTACAACATAACAAGTTATCCTAGCACAGTTTAATAAATGCTGGCAGAAGTCCCACAACTCCTGGGTCAGAGACAGAGGACTTTATCACACATAAGTATCAATATATTTGTTTGTTTTTGGAAAAACAATATAATGTATTGATTTTTCTTGCACCCCATAGTCCCATAAGACTGCTGCATATGGGCCTGAAAGCATGCTTGCATATGGAGTAGATTGCTTTACAGGACAGGGGCTCTGAGCTTAGAAAACCTGAAAATTTTATAATGGCAGTGAACATGCCAAACCTTAGTTCAGGAGGGAGACATTTTTCTTTTACTGGACAGTAAGCATGCCTGCCTGCCCTTTGCACCACAAAGGGACACTATATCAGTTTTCCGAGGTACACTGCTATGAAACTGTTCTTGAAAAGAGAGTTTGGAACCAAGACTTGCATGTCATGCAGTAACAAAGGCTCAAATGAGATGCAGAAACATGAGAGACTTAGAGAGAATTAGCTCTCAACTTATTATTCCAATGTTAATATACATGTTATAGAGCACTATTAAATGACTTGTCAAAAATGTATTGAGGTATAAATATGTATATGTTAGCATGAAATTATCCTGTACATATTCATTTTAAAATGTGTTTTCATACACACATTTCATATACACCCTTAGCCTGGGTGTCTTGTTGTAAGGATGAAAATGTAAGCTAGTTATATTAGGTTCTTACTATAAGCCTAGCTAGTGATGGTGAGAAAATAGAAAAGTGAGCAAAACATATATATATATGTCAGTTTGGCACAAGATATTACCATGATGACTATTACTTCAGAATGAATCATATCACTCTCTTTCTTTCTCTCTCTCTCTCTCTGTGTCACAGATACACACACACAGCAGATTACTCACTGAGCAGATGTGATCTATCAGTATTTCTTTGTATCTTTTATTATTGCTTACTAGAGTGTTTGCCTGCTATTATTTTATAGTTTTAACATTTTCCAGTTGTCAGATATCTGAATTTTAAGGATGTGAGATTTCACACTAAGCTTGCATTTTTATTTTGCCTTAGATTTCAAAATAAAGTGGCTTCTTACTTCAAGCAAATATAAAAGTTTGAAATATAGCTCTGATAATTGTTTAGAAATGAAAAGCTAAACTATGCTGTTAAAATAATTTATTATTGCTTTCATAAGTAAGAATGTAGGATAAGTAATGATAAATTCCTTGTAAAAATGGAAAACATGTTGAAAATACTAATAACAACTAAATTTATTGATAACTTTTAATGTTCCATATACTAAAGTATGTAATTTCCATATTTTGATTCTTTACTAAAATGCCATAATAAGCTTTTACTACCTTACTTTAAAAATTAGTACACTAACACACATATTTCATGATTTATCAAGTACAATTTTGTCTGACTTTAAAATGTATGCTGAAATGCTCTTTTATAGATATCAATTTTATTTAAAAAATTCATATTTTTCAGTACATGTGAAATATTCTTTATCAATAAAGTAATTGCTTCAATATGTTCTATTTTATTTGATAATGAGTATCAATTACTTTTTAAACATCAGTTTCATTCCATTAAGTCAATTTTTATTTTCACTTTAATAAAAACATGTTATACAACCAAAGTTTAAAAAATAAAAAGTAATATGTTGGACGTTTTCTAGGGTATTAAATAGATTACAGGAACTATTTCTATTTCAGTAATGCAGAACTCAGGAGATTTTAATGCACCTATGTCTGCAGGTTCCAGTCTCTATACCTTCTGGATTAAGTTATCAATGCAGAGATTCTGACTCCCAAGTATAGATAAAGTGTTGCTCTACTTTTATCAGCTGGGAAAATAGGGGATGGAGAGGAAGCATAGGTGCCAGGCAAGTATCACTTTACTTTGATCAGGAATTCTCACAAAAGGACGGAACAAATGTTCCAATAGCATCTATGATATTAATGTTAATGTAATATAAGGAAAAGTATGAAAATAAATAAAAGTCAAAAATGTTATGATAAGGTATTCCATGAAATTTAACAAATATATATTTTGTTGTAAAGGTTTCAATTTTCATCTGTCAGATATTGCAGGATGACAGACTGTTTTAAAAGTGATTTTGTATTAATAAAAGAAATATGCCTGCATGATACATTTGAAGCCCAGTATACATGATTAAATGACTATATCCATGATCTTAGGATGCCCTCATGCTGTCACTGAATCAATTGCAATGTCTACAATTTATTTCAGAAAAGAATATTCCAAAATTATTTTTTATGTCACTTCAATGGAATTGCTTTGAGTCTTGCATGGTGAATTGTATCAGAATATTTCAAATATATATATACATGTAAAACCATCTATATCTACATAGATCTGTAATAAGCTTTGTTTTCTTAAATTTGGGCAAAATATAAGATTTACCACATACATATACTGTTATAATACTCGTAAAAGGCAACTAGATTCACTATTTATTCTGGAACTATATTACATGGATTCAAATTAATTTCTTTATTTTGCTAATATGTTTTTGAAAAATATCGTATCTTTTGTACCTGAGTTTCTTTATTTTATCAGCTAGGATGATAATGGTACCTACCTTAAAGGTGAATGTTAAGCATTTATATTTTTTAATTAAATATTTTATGGTATACTAATAATTTTATTTTCTGAAAATTTTATCTGTTCTTTATCTTTAAAAAATTGATTCAATATTCTCCAATTTGGTACATACTAGTATCTTTTTTCTTTTTATTTAATCATTAAGATTAAGAATTATAATGCACATGAATTCTTTAGGTTTTGTAAGAAGAGATGTAGTTGCTTAGATTTTTGTTTTTTCTTTTTAAAAAAATCTTCTAGAGAATACAGCACATCACAGCACTGAATTCACTTGTGGGACTTTAAGACATACTTGAAAATTGATGCTAGCTGGGAACTTAAGGAATAAACAGGTGACTTGAAAGAATTAAAGCAACATAAAGACTTATTCAAAATAATAAAAGTTTTTCCCAAAAAAATTCTTAGTGGGTGCAGTGGTTCACACCTGTAACCCCAGCACTATTTAGTCAATTGAAACACATTTGTGGTCGGGCATGGTGGCTCATGCCTGTAATCCCAGCACTTTGGGAGTCTGCAGCAGGAAAATTGCTTGAGGCCAGGAGTTCAAGACTAGCCAGGTCAAGATGGCTAGACTCCATGTCTACACAAAATTTAAAAATTAGTAGCCAGCTTCAGGCTGGGTGACAAAGTGATACCCTGTCTCAAACAGCAACCACCACCACAACAAAACTCTTTATCACCAAAAATAACATGACTCAGATGGGAAGGACTAGAATTAGTGGGTTGGTGGGCTGTTAGGAAACAGTCCACACAGCTGGACGTGTGCAGCAGGCCAGCGAGCATTACTGCCTGAGCTCCACCTCCTGTCAGATCTGCAGGCATTAGACTCTCATAGGAATGTGACCCCTACTGTGAACTGCGAACTCCAGGGATCTAGTTTGTGAGGTCTTTACGAGAATATGATGCCTGATGATCTGAGGTAGAACAGTTTCATCCTGAAACCATTTTCTCCACCAAACTGGGGAAAAATTGTCTTCCACGAAACCAGTCCCTGGTGCCAAAAAGGATGGGGATTGTTCGTTTAATACACACAGGCATCTTCATTATTATCTTTTATTTTTAAATGATTGTAGTACTTTCTGTTGCTACATTTCATCCAGAGATTTTATTCACACAAACACAATTCTGTGATCAAAATGGCTTCAGTCTGCCATTTCAGTATTGATTTATATCACATCTTATTATTTTTATCATGTCTCAGCACATTGTAGTGTTTTGAGTCCCATTAAAATGTTTACGGTTTCTTTACTAGAAGTGAAGTTATGAGCCATTCATACACTCTCTAATTACGACACTTTAGTGCCTAAGAAATGACATTTCATTTTTATGCCAAATGTTTATGTATTTATTTTCTTTCTCTGTCATTTTTTCTTATTTATTGACAAAATTTTATATATTTTATATTTTCTTTGGTTTTGAGATGAAAGTCATGTAACATAAAATTGATGATTTCAAAGCGTATAATTCATTGCCATTTAGTACATTTACAATACTGTGCGAACATTATCTCTATGAGGTTCTAAACATTTCCATTACCCTAGAAGAAAACCCCGTATCATTCAACAATCATTCTCTACACCCTCCTTCCTCCAGCACTGACAACCACCCATCTGTTTTCCATCTCTATGGACTTGCCAATTCTAAATATTTCATATAAAGGAAATAACACAATATAAGATCATTTGTTTCTGTCTTCTTTTGCTTAGCATGTTTTCAAGTTTCACCTACTTTTAGCACAGAATAGTAGTTTTGATGTAGTACTTTTTATGGTTGGCTAATGTTCCATTGTACATATGTACATTGTACATTGTACACTGTGTATGGTTGACTAATGTTCCATTGTACATATAGACCACACTTTGCTTCCTCATTCATCAGTTGATGGATGTTTAAGTTTTTTGACTTTTGGCTCTTATGAATAGTGCTGGCATGAAGTATTCATATGAATATGAATAAATATTTGAATATTCAATATGAATAAATATTGAGTACCTGTTTTTCAAGTCTTTTTGGTATATAACTGGAAGTGAAATTTCTGGGCCATATGGCAATTCTATGTTTAATTTTTTGAGGACCTACCAAACTCCTTCCTGTAACAGCTATATCATTTTACGTTACCACCAGAAATGTAGGAGGGTCCTACATTCTCCACACTCTCACCAACACTTATTATTTACCATCATTTTGATGGTAGCCCTTCCAGTGGGTGTTAGGTGGTATCTCATTGTGGTTTTAACCCAATATTTATTTTTCAACAACAGAGTCCTCTGAAAAATAGTGATGGTCCTGCAGTAAAAACTACCCTGCTTAATGAATATTCAGAGTAAAAACGATCCCAAAGTGGGAAATAAACAAACATGCTTCCAAAGATGAATCATCAGAAAATGAGAGAAAGTAACTTTATCTTATGTTGACTAACTTTATTACTTATTACTAAATGTAATTTTTCATATATGTACAATTTGTTTGCTCCAAAAATTGGTTTTATATACTAATTATTTCACGATAGCAGTAAAAATTTTAGCCATTTCAACTTACAGTTTTTTAAAGGTGAATGTGTGTCTGTGTTGGAGAGTGATACTGTTGTACTCAAAAGGAAATGCACATGAAGTCCTGCATGTCTCAATTCCCTTTAAAGCCAGCGTGCTCTCATAGTCAAATGTTTAGCATGCTTATCTTTAGCATTAACTAACCAGCTGCAGAAAATGTGGCTGCCCCCTTATACTACCTGTAACTACAAATGATGTACTTAGATCATTTGTTACATCTTTTATAGTTACAAGTAGTATAATGTGCTTGTAACTTTATCATCATTCTAATCATTTCCCCAAACCTTTTTAAAAATCTAGTTTAAACACGTTTTGTGAACATTATTTTAAATGTAACAAAATAGTCTAATGTTTAAATTTTCACTGAAGACAGAAATGTCTATATTTGATTCTTTTGCATCTATATTTATAAATTATACTGTAAGTAAAAACTTTCATTTAACAATTCCCAAGACATATGACTTTTATAATAAAATATTTTCTAATTTTAACTGGCTAATAATAGAGGTAAAATCAGTATTGAAATGAGCTAATATATTTACAATCTTAAATATATTCTTAGAGTGATTTTTAAATGTGATTATAGATTTTAACACTACCTACTTTTTTAACTGCAAGAGTTTTTCTATGCAACATCAACAAAAATTCCAGGCCAGAGTGAAGACAATCTGGATTCAAATGCTCATTGCTTCCAGATGTATGACCTGGGCAATTTAGCTAACCTTTCTGGAGTTCAATTACTTCTGTAATATGATTATCTACTTCATAAAACTGGAAGGTTTAAATGCATTGACTCATGTAAAATCTTGGAACTGTGCCTAGCATATAATAAGCTCTCAGTATTATTGATAAACAGTTTTAAAACATGAAGAATTTGAGGAGCAGGACTGTATTTTATTGAGATTTTGGAGAACCAATGCAGGAATTTCTGAAAGAATGCTGATGCAGCCATCACCTCTTACCTGAACTCTTGCAATAGCCTTTTACTGGCATCTCTGTGTACATTATTGCCGTGCAGTTCCAGTGTGTTCCCTACATCATTGCCAGAGTTATCTTTATAAGGGCATTAATTATAATTTCCCTCTTATAAAAGCCTCTGATAGCTTCCTATAAACCTAGAATTGAATTGAACACCTTAATTATATGTCTCAGAATCTCAGAATGGTAAATGATCTGGCACCTCCCTCTTTTTTTTTTTTTTTTCTTTGAGATGGAGTCTTGCTCTGTCACCCAGTCTGGAGTGCAGTGGCGCAATCTCGGCTCACTGCAAGCTCTGCCTCCTGGGTTCATGCCATTCTCCTGCCTCAGCCTCCCAAGTAGCTGGGACTATAGGCGCCTGCCACCATGCCTGGCTAATTTTTTGTATTTTTAGTAGAGATGGGGTTTCACCATGTTAGCCAGGATGGTCTCGATCTCCTGACCTCGTGATCCACCCGCCTCGGCCTCCCAAAGTGCTGGGATTACAGGCGTGAGCCACCGCGCCCGGCCAACTCCCTCCTTTTTTATTTGATCCATGCCACTCTAATGCATGTGACATTTAAAGCCAATGGGACATCTTTGTGTGCACCAAACTGGCCAGTTCCTTACGGATTTCAGGTCTTCACATTTGCTGTATCTTTCTGCTTTTCTTTAAGAACATCAAATAGCTCTCTCTCTCTTTTTTGTCTGAATCCCAAAGTCACTTCCTCAAAGAGATCGTCAGTGAAAGCTCTTTATTAAACACTATCCCATCCCCAACAATCTCTGCTTTTAATAAACTAGTAGTTAACAATATTTGAAATTTTTCTGTTTGATCACTTCTTTTTCTGTTTGATCACTTCTTTACTTATTGATTGCCTGTTTCTTTCACCAAACCATGGCTCATTCCATGGCTCATGAGAGCAAGAACTATATCTATCTTGCTTATCACATTGTTACTAGTACCTAGACGAGTGACTTGCACATGGAAGATCAATGATACTAGGTTGGTGCAAAAGTAATTGTGGTTTTTGCCATTTTTTTAATCACTTTGGCACCAACCTAATAATTGTTTTCAGAATAAGTTAAAACCACTCTTTTGAACTCTGACAATTTCTACATGTAGAAACCTTTTTTAACCAACCATCTTTTATCATAAAAAATAATGCCCTTAGAAGGTAACATTTTATTACTAACAACAAAAAATTGAAGTTTCTAAACAGTTCAAAAAATGGATCTAAACAAAATAATATGCCTTCTCTTACTTATAATAAACGAATAAAAATTAAAACTATATGAGATACTGTTCCTTGCCTATTTGCATGGCAAAAATCCAAGTTCAACAACATACTTTCTTGGTGAACTGTAAAAAAGTAAATATACATCATTTCTGGGATGGCTAAATGGTTCCATCGTCCTGAAATAAAATCTGCCAACATCTAGAAATACTACTTATTCTTAAACACTTTTACTCAGCAAGCTCTAAAAAATATATCCCAAAGATACAGTGACAAAATTGTAAAATGCATTAACATTTTAATTTTATTGACATTAATTTTGACATTAACTGTATTTGTAAAGACTGCAGAGTGGCAATAATCCAAATGCACACCACTAGAAGATGAGTCAAACAGCCTTTGATGCTTCCCTCACAACAGAGTACAGCCACAAAAACAAGGAGGAGTATTTATATATACTATTATGAAATATCATTAGGATATTTCATTAAGTGAAATAAATAAAAGTGTAAATAAAGAATATTTTATTATTCACTAACATTAATTTACAAAAGGAAGGCTAGAAATAGAAATTCAATTATGTACAAGAATATAGCAAGATGAATCATGAAATAAAATGGGAGAAGGTAAGGTAGAGGGTACTATAATAGATACTAGACTTCTTTAATTATAGCTTTTTAAAAAAATTGACTTTGGGTCCACATTAAAATTTTATACAAGTATAAAACTTAATTAAATTTAAAATAAAATAACTAAATTTGAATGCAAAATAAGTTACCCTACCTTTATATCTAATTGGTTATATAACAGACAGAGGAACTATTTCAAGTTACTCTAAAACATTGTAATTTGATCTTATATACCTAATTAAATAAGTCTTGTGGAAAAAATAAACAGTAAAAATAATATTAAACTAAAGTAAATATATTTTTGTTGCTACAATTGTTGTTAATATTCAGATAATGAAAATACATGTATGGCTGAGAAAACAAATAAGTAATTATGTCATAATTAAGAATGGAGACTGTTGGCTGGGCATGGTGTCTCATTCCTGTAATCCCAACACTTTGGGAGGCTGAGGCAGGCAGATCACGAGGTCAGGAGTTCAAGACCAGCCTGACCAACATGGTGAAACCCCGTGTCTACTAAAAATACAAAAATTAGCCAGATGTGGTGATGCACACTTGTAATTAAGGCTACTCAGGAGGCTGAGGCAGGAGAATTGCTTGAACTGGGGAGGCAGAGGTTGCAGTGAGCTGAGATTGTGCCACTGCACTCCAGTCTGGGTGACAGAGTGAGATTCCGTCTAAAAATAATAAAAATAAAAATAAAAGAATGGAGACGGTTGACATGAAAGTAGATACACATGTAATATATAAATTAATGTTTTTAAAGGTATAATTTACAAAAAACAAAGTATAGCACAAATGTTAAATGTGCACACAAAGATTTCAAACCGACTTTATTAACTATCCAGTTTCAAAAATTAAACCCACTTAACACAGCATTTATTGGAAAAAATTACGCAAAAACTACGCATTTTGTTATATTTTATGATTTTTGAAATTTTTATTATAAGTATATTTGTATTTAATAGGAATTATTTCCTAAAAAATTGTTTTGACAAAATGAAGAATTTACAAGTTCCTAGCAACTTGCAATTGTAACTATGAATACTTATAAAAAATTTATATGACTACTGACCAATTTTAATTTGTTTAATCATAAAGTACATTCCTACATTTACATTGCCATACTTATTGGGCATATTATTCAATTTGAAATTCTAAATAAATCTCTATTGTCATGAATTTTTTATTCAGCTTCTACCTTCAAACAAAATATGTTTATTGTTGTAGTTTATACAATGTTACTTACATATTTGCCCATCAATAGTCAAGTACATGCAATCTTCACTTTGAATATAATTTCAATTCATACCTCAAACATTGTTACTTTAGTTCATCTAATTTGAAATTCAGTTTAAGAACTATTAACAAACTGAACTGCAGTGTTTTTGTCAAGTATCATTCTGATTTACGGTTATTTTTTCATGTCATAAACAAAGCAAAGCTTCCAGATTTTGTTTATTTTTTCCCTTCTGGTTTATCTATAATATCATCTGTCTCATAACTTCTTTTTTTTCAGATTTTATTTTTTTAAAGCTTCCCTGTAAAATCACTATGGCCTTTGTAGCAGCTACTGTGTTACAAGCAGAAGACTATGACATTCTATGTATGAAGGGAAATAAATAACTAATGTAGTAAGAAAATGATATATATTTTTTAAATATTTTCAAAGTAATAAAACCTGATTCAATTTTGCATCATGAAACACAAATAGCTAATGTGACAAAACAGGAAATGTTGGCTTTACACATTAGCTCAGCACATTAAATAACAAGAGAAGAAAATCTCATGCTATTATATGTCATCTCCTTTATTAACATTCAAAGAAACAAGAAAATGTAACTCTATATTATTTAATGCATGTAATTAAATTCTTATCATGTTAGAGTTTTTTTAATATACGGAATAGAATTAGATTCATAGACAATTATTGGTCGTTTCATTGGTTTATAAAATCATCTATTTATTTCTCGCTACCCCATTCTAGTCATCATTGCTTACTTTCAAAGTATTCCTGTTAGTAGAAAACTGTGTGTGTATATATATACGTGTATATATACATATATATACATGTATATATACGTGTATATATACATATATATACATGTATATATACGTGTATATATATACATGTATATATACGTGTATATATATACACATACACATATATGTGCATACATAACAAAAACTGTTTTATTATGAGTTGTTTTTGCTGATTGTTCAACTTTCCATAATATCCAATTTGTTTACCAATTAAGAATTTTAAATGTGTCTTTGTGACTTAAAAAGAATCATAAACAATTAGTTTCAAAAGTTAAACAACACTAAACACGAGGTGCTTTTTAATCCTTAATAAAATTCGTATGATATTGGTGATGATTTGACCGATTTCTTTTAAAAAGCCACTTTTATACCTTTCATAGAAAATTTTCTGTTTATCAGACATTAAACATAGTTGACAGATAAATTTGATAGCATGAGGAGCTGAAGGAAGCAGTTATAAGATCATGCTTCTGACCAGTTATGAAGATTCAGCTAATTCATAGTGCAGAGATTACTGAACCCAACATTTTAAAATTTTAAATTCAAGACATGTAAAGAAAATGTGGTACATATACATACTGGAATACTATTCAAAAATAAGAAAGAAATTCTGTCATTTGTGACAACATGGATGAACCTGGAAGACATTACATTAAGTTAAATAAGACAGACACAAAAAATATATACTATATAATTTCATTTATATGTAAAATCTAAAAAATATTGATCTCATAGAAGTAGAGAGTAGAATGATAGTTACCAGGGGCTGGGACAATTGTGGGAGGGGGAACTTGGGGAGATGTTGATCAAAGCCTATAAAATTTTAGTTAGATAGAAGGGATAAGTTGAAGAGATCTGTTGTACAGCATTCTATTGAAACTTGAGAGTAGAAATAACAAGTTGAAATCTCCCATTTAATCATTCATTAGTAATGCATTATTACAAAGGTCCTAGAGCTCCTCCCAATATGCCATTTACAATCTAGTAGGGTAGCAAGACATTTACATAAAACTATTATGAAACATGGTCTCTTAGACAGATGAATTTTATATTTATTTCTTTAGGAAAAACCTAATTATATTTCACAAGGAGGAGGGGTTTTAGTTAAAGATAAAAACTGCCTCAGATTTCTATAGGCATATATATAGTTAAAGGATTTCTGGAAAAAGTGAGAGAATAACTAAAGGATTAGAGATGGGAATATCCAATTATATTCCTTTTATACTGGATGGGGATAGAGGTTATGGTTGCTACAATAAGGAAAGGGATTGAGGTCACATTGTTCAAAACCTTTAATATTAGGAGACAAGATGCCATTTCATACAAGTAATGGGGATCTATTTTAGTTTTTGAGCAGAGAAATGGAAAAAGTCAACATGTTCTAGAAAATAAAAAAAATCCGTGATGGATGATAGGTGTTGGAATTTCAAAAGGTATTACAAAATTTAAGTGATAGCTAATAATAAAAAAAGGTAATGTTGAATTACTAAGTGACAAGTATTGTTTTTGTACATCCATACATTACCCACTTTAATTTTTAGGAGAGTATTGTTAGTAATTACAGTATAGTACTATTCTCATTTTACAGATAAGAGATCACGTAAAGTAAGTAATTTGACTAAAATCACACAGTTAGTGAGAGTAGACTTGATCTCCAGGCAGTTTGATTTAAAACTGCCTAAGGTTAACAAAATGAGGACCTATTACAGAGTGGATGACAAAGAAAATTCAAAGGAAGAAACAGTTTGGAAAACAGTGAATGTAAAAAGAAATTATAAATGCATACAGCAAGCATCCCTTAAAGATCATGACATTCCATGGGTCCCTGAAAATGTTTACCCATCCTGTAAGTACTAACCAAGAAAAGGTGACATTAGATTCATTGTCCTAAAGTTTAGTTTTCATGCCTAGGATTTAATTACTCAAGACATAATTGGAGCTCATGGTTATTAAACAAATAAGCTGAGATACCACCAAAGTTCTCTTTTCTCCCTTGAACTGTAAGCACAATGAGAATAAGGACCATATTTGTCTTTTCCCCCACTCTAGTTTTGTTGTTTCACACAGTCTGTTACATAGTAAAGATACTAAAAACATTTTTTTGAAAAATTAGGCATCATATACCCATGTGTAGAAGAATGCTAATATTTATGCAAACATGTATGTGTGTGTCTATGTGTGTGTGTGTTTATGTAGAGGGATTTTTTTTCAAGTCATAGACCATATATATGACTTCAATCCCCAAAATTATGTCTATGCTCCTATCTACTTCAACTACTATTTTAGCTGGTCAAGGCTTTTTGACAAGATAAGTGACCCTAACATTTACACTCTGATGGCATCTCAGTCTTTGAATCTCTCTTTTTAGTGGGTTTAAGAGTCTCCATTAATCATATCTGGATATGATAGCTTCCAGAAATTGCTCACCCTTCTCCATCCTCATTTATTAAAGCAGTTCTTTATTTATATTTTATCGTAAATGTTAATTATCCTCTAACCTCATTTAAGACTTTTTACAAATGGAATAAGCTAAATATGGCAAGATGACAATCACAATTATATTATCCAAGTTAATGTTTATTACATCTTTGTGTCAGTGGCAGTCATGGAGGTTCTATGCTTAGATTCTTCTTGAGAAATAATCCCAGCACTTTGGGAGGCCAACGCGGGCAGATCATGAGGTCAAGAGATCGAGACCATCCTAGCTAACATGGTGAAACCCCATCTCGACTAAAAATACAAAAAATTAGCCAGGCGTGGTGGTGGGTGCCTGTAGTCCCAGCTGCTTGGGAGGCTGAGGCAGAAGAATGGCGTGAACCCAGGAGGTGGAGCTTGCAGTGAGCCGAGATCGCGCCACTGCACTCCAGCCTGGGCGACAAAGTGAGACTCCGCCTCAAAAAGAAAAAAAAGAAATAACGTGCCACTCAGCTGCAAATAGTGCATCTATCTGATGGCCCTCAGCAATATCATCTGGGGATGTGCATACAGTGTTTGAGTTGAGGCCATTTTCTTACCAAGTGTCTCCTAGCTGTAAACTGAACACCACAAAGGTACTAGGGCATCACCATTTCTGTCCAACATGGGACTCCTCTAAGTGCCTCATTTATGCTTTGGAGATCCCATATGACTGTCTAAGACTGTGCCAGATCTGCATTGTATGTGAGTTCCTCCCTGCTCAATTGTGCTTCTTTCTCTTTCTTTCACATGCATCTCTCCTGCAAAGCCTCTTGCTCTCATGATTCTACCACAGTATCTGCTTACTGAAGAAGGGGAACCAGCACAAGGGCTAAAATCTCTAAAATAGCAGAACTCAAATTTGTAGGAAGAGGTAAAAATTTGAAATAAATTATATAATTTATTTATATATTCCTATTAAACCTTTTTCTTCTTTTGACCATGTATACTGGTTTGAGAGAGCCCATCTAATAGATGAGCAGACCAACATCGAGAAGATTTTCAGGTGGCAATCCCTATTATTTGGCAGTAGGTGATTCTTATGTTTTATATGGCTAGAGCCTTCTAGGTGAAGAATTCATGATTTGTCTGAGGCAATTTTATGCAGGCACCAATGAGTAAGGCCATAACATATTGTTGAAGTCTGACAGAGGAAGGACAGCAAAAGCAAATCCAAATCCACAATGATTTTTGTCACATGGAAAAGGCTAGGTTTCCTTGAAAGTGTGTAATAATTGAGTGTTAACATGTTTTATTGCTACAGTTTAATTGAGTACTCAGGTTGTATCACACAGATTGGATTTGATCAAAAGAAGTTGGTAATTGTTGAGTTGAAAACACACATGCCTCTCATATATCCAACAGGAGATAAACAGAGAAAGTTATCCAGCGTCAGTCTTCAGGCTGTGATGGTCAGCCAAACATTCAATTTCTAATTGATCATAAATTGTGTTGATTATGACCTTGAAACACTTTATTTCCTGGAAATGGAAATAAGGCCTACATCTCAAGCTGTTAGGTTGTGCACATCTCACTTTAACTGTCTTTCAAGGTGATCCCTGAGTGTGCCTGTCTTATAGCACCAGGTTTTGCCACCTTATCACGTGCAGCCTTCCGTAAGGAAAGATCTGCTTTTCTTTATGCTTGATTAATTCCTTATTAAGAACTTCCCATTGCTTGAAGTGTGGGTTGAAGGTTGAGCAGTGTTTAACATTAGGCACCCAAGAACGTGAGTCTCTTAAATCTGTAACATTTTTCATGCCTTTTGTGTTTGTTCTGGCTTGATTATGGCCCCATATGTATATATTTTATTTGACAATACAGTTTGCCTGGAATAAATTTTATGACTAATTGTATAAATTTGTTATGAATCATAATATACCATAAAGTTTTATAAAGGGTACATTTTCAAATCAGACTTCTTAGGAACAAATTACTTATTCATTGACACATTAGCCAGGGCATGTTGCTTAATTTTTTTCTAATGCAATTTCTTTGGCTTTAAAATGGATATATGAATACTATTTATCTTACAGAGGCTATATATTTTGCAATACAATATATAAAATTTAACACCGCTAGCAGGAACGGTGCTTAGCACTGAATGCACACCCAGTGGTTGTTAGCTCTTATTAAAAAGACTGACACACAAGAAATACATAAATATCACATGTATTTTTAAATAACCTGGATTAAATAATCAATAACAACGAATATAGAACATAACTGGAATAGAAGAACAATAAAATACTAATTAAATACTACTTAAAATTCATGGGATGAGGTTAATAAAACATAACATAAATTAAACATTATGAAGAATTGCAACAAAAAACTAAAATTGAAAAATGTTTGGTAATTAATTTATTACAAGCCACTACATTTACTAGCCATTAGATACATGCAAATTAAAATCAAAGGGATAACATTTTATACTTACCAGGCTAGGAAATTTTTAACATCCTGTCATTAGTTTAAGTGATAATGAGGGTGTAAAACAATGATAACTCTTTTGTACTTTTGAAGGAAGTCTAAACTGTCACAGCTAGTGTGAAGAACAGTTTGGTAATATCTATTAATGAAGGTCTGTGTACATCATAGGGCATTGATTTTTCTCCTAAGTCTACAAGGAACTCTCTCACATGCATGTAAGAATACAGGTATAAAAACATTTATATACTTCTGCTAATAAAAGAAGAATTTAAGAATTAAAAATGTAATATGTAACCAAAATCTAACACTTGAAGATATACATATATAAAAAGTAAAAGAAATGCTCATGTTATTGCCAAAATAAAATGTAGGATATAATACTCTCTGGGGAGTAAGTAGCAAAGGTGGAGGATGTGATTAGAGAGTAATACTCACAGAAAGTGCCAGCTCTGTTGTCATGATTTTATTTCTTCAACTGGGTGTTGAGTACATAGTTATTTGTTGTGTTATTGATAGCTGCATCTAGTCTTACATTCTGTGAAATATTTTACAGAATGAAAATCAAAGAATAAGACTTCCTCAAATGAAATATGTAGGGAATATAAAATATAACCTGCAAATGTTTAGGAGCTAATAAATATTTAGGAATTAATAAGAGAAAGAAAAAAGACAAACATGCTGCATAAGAATTTGCCACGATTTTTACAAATGCCACAGACAGTATGGTATACGCTATGAGCTAAATCTGAAATTAGAAGTTTTTCTTTCAACTCTCCTCTTCCTATTTTTAATCTCTTATAGAAAAATGGATGATTTATATTATCATTGCAAAGAAAGCTATCTTAGCATTAACCAAATATAAATTACAAATAACTTATTAAACTCATTTTTACTCACCTTACATGAAAACTTCCATTCCTATTTATGAAAAAAAATTTTTGCCCCAAGTCAAGAGTTCATTTACACATCCAGAATATTTTATTTTACTTTATTTATTTATTTTACTTTAAGTTATGAGATGCATGTGCTGAACGCACAGGTTTGTTATACAGGTATACATGTGCCATGGTGGTCTGCTGCAACTATCAACCCATCATCTAGGTTTTAAGCCCCGTATGTGTTAGGTATTTGTCCTAATGCTCTCCCTCCTCTTGCCCCCAACCCCCGACAGGCCCCAGTGTGTGATGTTCCCCTTCCTGTGTCCATGTATTCTCATAGTTCGACTCCCACTTATGAGTGAGAACATGCATCGTTTGGTTTTCTGTTCCCGTGTTAGTTTGCTGAGAACGATGGCTTTAGCTTTATCCTTGTTCCTGCAAAGGACATGAACTCATTCTGCTGCATAGTATTCCATGGTGTACATGTGCCACATTTTCTTTACCCAGTCTATCATTGATGGGTTTTTGGGTTGGATCCAAGTCTTTGCTATTGTAAACAGTGCTGCAATAAACATACATGTACATGTGTCTTTATAGTAGAATGATTATCGTCCTTTGGGTATATACCCAGTAATGGGATTGCTGGGTCAAATGGTATGTCTGATTCTGGATCCTCGAGGAATTGCCACACTGTCTTCCACAATGGTTGAACTAATTTAAACTTCCACCAACAGTGTAAAAGCATTCCTATTTCTCCACATTCTTGCCAGCATCTATTGTTTCCTGACTTTTAAATGATTGCCATTCTAACTGGTGTGAGATGGTATCTCATTGTGGTTTTTGTTTGCGTTTCTCTAATGACCAATGATGATGAGCTTTTATTCATGTTTGTTGGCTGCATAAATGTCTTCTTTTGAAAAGTGTCTGTTCATATCCTTCACCTACTTTTTGATGGGGTTGTTTTTTTCTTGTAAATTTGTTCAAGTTCTTTGTAGATTCTGGATATTAGCCCTTTACAGATAGATAAATTGCAAAAATTTTCTCCCATTCTGTAGGTTGCCTGTTCACTCTAATGATAGTTTCTTTTGATGAGCAGAAGTTCTTTAGTTTAATTAGATGCCATTTGTCAATTTTGGCTTTTGTTGCAATTGCTTTTGATGTTTTAGTCATGATGTCTTTGCCCATTCCTAGGTCCTGAATGGTATTGCCTAGGTTTTCTTCTAGGGCTTTTATGGCTGTAAGTTTTACATTTGAGTCTTTAACCCATCTTGAGTTGATTTTTGTATAAGGTGTAAGGAAGGGGTCCAGTTTCTGTTTTCTGCATATGGCTAGCCAGTTTTCCTAGCACCAGTTATTAAATTAAATAGGGAACCCTTTCCCTATTACTTGTTTGTGTCAGGTTTGTCAAAGATCAGATGGCTGTAAATGTGTGGTGTTATTTCTGAGGACTCTGTTCTGTTCCATTGGTGTATGTATCTCTTTTGGTACCGGTACCATGCTGTTTGTAAATACAAAGCATAGTTTAGGTTGAAAAATCTCACAACTTCATTCTAAGAATATATTACAGGGAGATAATGTCAGCTTTGAGTTTACATTTAGGTTTAGATGTAGTATTCTGCAATCATCTTTCTGATCATTTACCACTTTAATAAAAAACTTAATGTTGTAAATTTGGGTAACTTTATTTTTAAGCATCAGTCAGTTCATGTGTAAGCTATTTAGAAATAGAATAAGCTGTAGAGTACTGAAACTTCAGTTAGCAAGTTTGGAAAAAGTAAAAGTTCTTTTTTCTACTTCTCAGCATACATGGAGAATCTTAACTAATAAATGTCAAATGAAAGGCAAAGATTAATGGGTCAGTGAAATTAATTTTTACATTTAACTTGGCACATATGCAAATAGATTCATTAATATTTGAAGGGATTATTAGCAATCACATAATGGTTTCTTTATATTCTAATTATTCCCAATTGTGTAATTACTTTCAATTCATTCTTTTATTATTTTACTTTGAATACAGTGTTACTGTGAAAATATGTATTACAAATGTTTACTTCTAATGCAATTTTTGTTATTTTAACTAACTAATGATATTGTGAATAATGTGGATAAAATTTACAGGAATTTTGTGAAACAGACCTAGAACTGAGCATTTGTTATTGAAAATATTTCTTAGTACTAAGATCCCCAAATCATATATTATATTGTAAAGGAATCTTTTGAGTTTAAAAATAACATGGAGCCTTTTACAACATATACACTGATGTCATATACTCAGTATTGACCTAAAAGAGAAATTTAATTTGGTCTTTATTCAATCCACAGCCTTTAGAGTTATGTAGTAATGTTTAATTTGAAGAATTCTGTACTAATTGTGGACAAAAAAAAAAGTTCAGCATTTGTGAGTAACACACCCTCTGAAGCAGAATTCTTACATTCTTGAGCACAATTTTGGCATTCATGAAAGATAAATCTACTTTTCCTTATTTCACAAGTTAAAAAAGTCAAAAGAGGGTAGAAATTATGGCTTCCAAGATAATTTTTGGCATATGTAAAGCATATTATTTACAATCACCCAAATATTTTGTGCAGAAACCAATAATAAATGTGCTTACCAACAGGTCAATCAGATTCATTTTGCAACGTGAGCTATTCTGTGGTAACACATACAGATTTAAAAATTTAATCTAACAATTTTTAAACCGTCCTTATAAAGCAATTAAATTATACAAGGCAAATTATTAGTGTTTTAAAAATATTCATACTTCTAAACTATAAATGACATGTATTTAAATGTAAATAATGGACGTTGAAAAACTTAAAAGTATAAGGGAACTGCTATTATAATAGAACTCAAACTCATAAAACTTTTTTTTTCAATAAAGTACTTCTTGCCAACCAAATGTGTCTGGAATTGGTGGGTTCTTGATTTGAGACTGAGTTCCAATCCCCTCATGCAACACCCAATTAAACACTTCTTCCTTGGCAATACTCGTTGTCTCAGTCATTGGCTTCTGTGCGGCAAGCAGCAGGACCTAGACCAAACTCCTGGTGTTTTGGTAACATATTAAGTTAAGCATGAAGAGAGATTACAGAAATTCAAAACTGGCTGAATCTATAACATATGAAAAACCAGTAGGAACTTAAATAATATGTATCAAAACTTTTTAGAATTAGGTAAACCCTTGAAAACTGTAGTAGTTATGGTAATTGGGAATATACTTAAAAGAAAGACAAAAGAGTTGAAGTTTTTTGTGTTGTGGTTCAAAATCATCATGCTAAGAATAGCAAAGCTACGCAGTAAACAAGACACTTGATTAACATCGCCTTATTGGTGTGTGCTCTGAAAAATAACTTTGCTCCAGGCCAAAAGCAGTGAAATATGAAGTAAACAAAAATAATTTTAAAATATGGAGGACTGAAATTCTAATGTATATGTTACTATGAATGATAAATTGAAAAGATATATAAAAAGCAGATAAATGTATACCATGTGAGAAGACGAACAAGAGTAGTTCATTAATTGGAGGTTACATGCTACTTTAACCTACCCCTGATCCTAGGATTTGGGTTTCTAGCTTATGGAAAGCTGCAGGCTTCAAGAGAACTCAAACAGATTTGTGGTAAAGCCACAAAAACATTATATTATTTAGTTATCAACAGGGGACCCAAATAGCTAGTAGAAGTTCTGCAAATAATTTTAAGCACATCTCATTTGGCTTATAGGTGGTAGGTCTGGAATAATGTACTCGCAGCATTCTGATAACTTTCTTTGTCTTAAGATTCTCTTTCTACCAGTATTTTACCTCTGAATGATTTGTTAGCTTTGAGTGTGATTACCAAAATTGGAAGAAAAGTTTGGTGCCATTATTCTGGCAAGTCTTGTATAAACTGTCTGAAACTGTCCAAAATAACCTTTTATATTTTCACTATGCAAAAAGTAGCCATTAGCCAGATGTGGCAAATGCAACAGAGCAATAAAATTTGTACTTTAATTTTAATGAATTTAAATATACATACCCACATTGTCTAGCAGCCACCACATTAGACAGTGTAAATATTGAAACTTACATTTGAATACAGTGGTAAGAATGCTTTGTAATTTCAGTCCACTATATAAGATGTTAAAATGTACCTCAGGTATTTCAATATCAGTAATTAGAACATACACCATATCATACTAACATTTACACTATAAAAACTGCAAAGCTGGCTGGGCACAGTGGCTCACGCCTGTAATCCCCGCACTTTGGGAGGCCCAGGAGGGAGGATCACGAGGTCAGGCGATCGAGACGATCCTGGCTAACATGGCAAAACCACATCACTACTAAAAATACAAAAATTTTCTGGGCGTCGTGGTGTGTGCCTGTAATCCCAGCTACTTGGGAAGCTGAGGCAAGAGAATTGCTTGAACCCGGGAGGCGGAGGTTACAGTGAGCCGAGATTGAGCCACTCCAGCCTGGCGACAGAGCTAGACTCCGTCTCAAAAAACAAAACAAAACAAAACAAAACAAAAACTACAAAGTTGAAAATACATGCAGAAAGTGTTAAGTCATTGAGGAACAACTGGGACAGGCAGGTTGAAAGTCAAAAATACCTGAAAAAAAAGTAGCAAACAAATGAGAACTTCACACTTACCTTCTGTTTTGTTGTTGTTGTGGTTGTTGTTGTTTAATTTTGGCTCATTTGTTGATTCGTGGGTAAAGAAAATATACAAGATGCTGAAAAAATAGTAAGTTTGAAATACTCTCTAGTAGCTGGGGATGCAAAATAAGGGGTTCAGGATTTCCATGGAGGCTGGGATTTAAAGAGGAGAAAGCATATTCGGAAAGGTACCCTGAAACACTGCATATTATTTCCTCTCAAAGCTTTTGCCTAATCTCAAGCAGAGTATCAGCAATGTGAGCCTCCCAGAAAGCAACTGATTAATGCTAAAAAAGAGTCGTAAGACATATGATGAAAGTCCTTACAAATATCCAGTTTATTGCCAAAAGCAGTGCAATAAACAACAACATTAAATTAAGGGTATGCAAAGCAGCCACAGTTTGCGTCAAACTAAGCAATAAGAAGAGGCTAGGTACAATTCCAGTTGTTCTCCCCTTGTAAGGACCATACTGAGTTTTCCCTCCAGAATGGAGAACTATTGATATTCATGGCACAACTCAGAACCAGGGAGCCCAAAATGGAGACTCATCCAGAATTTCTAATACCTGGCTTATTTAGAAGGAATCTTCTTACTGTATAATGGCTCTTCAATGCAGAATCCTGGGGTGTTCTCACTGAGAACAGATGTAAACGATCAATCTCACTGTAGTCTACAGACAATACAGATAAGCTGGTAAATATCACCCCAAATTTTCTAAGACCCATGGTTACTATGTACACTGTTAATCAGCATATTTTATGTCTCTACCAAGGGTCAGTGGAATTCAGATACAAATTACGTTTTAATGAAGGAGCTCAGGCTAATTTCAGGCTTGTTGGAATTAACCATAGAATGCATTGAAAAAAAAATCAAAAGATTAACAAAGGTTTCAGCAATCTTGGGTATAAAATATAGTTAATTGTCAGGAACTTAAAATATAACAGGATTTCAACTGTGAAATCCTGTTATACTTCTATTTCTTGCCAAGATGGAATAGCCAGACCCAGATTTACTCTGCTTCTACTTCTTGCCAAGGTGGAATAGCTGGAGCCAGATTTACTTCGCTTCCTGAAACAACCAAATGTAACAGAGTCCCTGAAGATCAGTGATCCTAAAGACATGGGAAACCAATGAGGTGAGGTCTATAATCACCCAAACATGCTACCTTGAGAGAATTTCCTGGATGTTATCTGGAAGGAATAACAGGAAAAGCCCACGGGACACCTTTAGTAGAGAAAATGGAGCAGAGAATCTGGATAGGACAAGGCAGCTAAAATTCACAGAACATTGTAATTGGAGAGGAGAGAGGTGCACAGAGAGATACTCAAATATTCAGAGGCACTACTTTTGTTATTTATTAAGTACTGATCAGAACATGTGAAAAAAACTACTGGAAGCTCTGATTAGAACCACTCTAGTGGATTAGAGATAATATTTTTAGACATTCACAGAGGGCTAGGTATAATGCTTATTCCCATCAGCTAGACAGCAAAACTTCATGACTCATACATCCAAAAAGCTCAACAAAATCCAAGGTTAGGAAATATGAAGAAAACTACACCACAATACATTAAAATCAAATTGCTCAAAACCAGTAATAAAGAGAAAATCTTAAAAGTAGCCTGGGTAAAAAGGCTCATTACATACAGCGCAACACAGATAAAAATGATCTTGCATCTAGGACCTTTTGAGCCAATTTAAAATATGCTATTCCTTCTACCTGAGAATATGTGGTAGTAATTGATAAGCTATATGCTTGTAATTCCCCATCCCATAAGTATCGGAAGAAATTATATTGATCAGGAAGGGCTTCATGTACAGAAGTTTATCCCTAATGACTCCTTTGAACTTCAAGTGTATGAGTCTGATAATTTTGTTGATGGAATCTTCTGACAAAAAGAAGCAGCTTTCACACTGAGGCATCTTTGAGGGTTTGAGTTTCCCTGACATGGCTCAATATTAGCTTGTGAATGAGGTCTTTTAAGATTAGAATAACAAAACCATGATTGCCTTGTGATTTTCTAGTATGATATTTTAATTCTTGTGTGGGAGTGGCAGCAGCTTTCAAGAATTTGACATTTTTGCATAGAAGTAGGAAATCTTTCTAACCATGAAACTTTTGAAAAGTAATGTAGCTGTCTAATACAAACTGGGTTGGTAAGGCCATTCATAATTTTACTTAGAAGCAATCCCCTTGAATACTCAAGACAACAGACCCATAACAAGTCAATGTATTAAAACTTCTCTGAATAGTTATGGGGTTTATTTTCACTCCCCGTGTTGAATATATCTTTACAGAGTGTTCAGGGATTTATTTCCACTCTCTGGCTTGGAATGTGTCTTTATAGAGTGTCCAGGATATCTAATGGACATCTGAGTAACAACAGATTTTTTTTCACTAGAACTATTTGAAATGCCATCAAATTAGAGGACCTATATGTTGCTATGTGGAATGTCATGACAATCAAAGTTGCTGTATGTCATAGAAGGATAGTTAAAATAATCTTGAAGCTAGAGAGTGATAAGCCACTGCCCCTTTAATTCCTTTTCTTTTGATGAAAGACAAACTGCTTTTGATTCTCCCTGCTGAGTATCTAAAAGAACACCTTCATAAAATCAATAGCTGCCTATCATATGCATTGATTTGCTCCAGTGAAGTCACCCCATCCAGCAGAGTAGAATAGTCAGGGAAAATCACTGTGTTTACGGTAACCCCCGTCATCTGCCTTGACTCATCTGGATCTTACGTAGAACAGACAGGTAAAGACACAGGAATACACTGGTGAGAGAATAACCAGTATTATTAAGGAGCTCAGTGGTGGCTATCTTTTGTAAGCAAAAGCTGATGAGAAGAAATGCTGCTTTAGAACTGGCTACCTTAACAGTAATAGACAAGATAAGATTCAAAGAATTAATAGTGACCAGGTGGTGGTGGTTAATCAAATGAAAACAGGTGAATCTAATTATCATAATGAGTAGAGCTCTAAAACTGGCAGTTAGAAAGGCTTGACCCATGGAGAACTATGGAGATATTAAATGGAACATGGAGTTCCCAGGGGTAAGAGACACGGTCACTCAAAAGAGATATTGTTTTATGTAGCAGCCACAGTAAATCCAGGATGAATGATTAGGAAGCAGTAGCAGCCTTCCCAATGAACCCCCTCACCTGGAGGTTTCAGATTTGAACCAGTTCTCAGCCCAGAAGCCCATAGACCAAAGAGAAGTCTGGCCCTGAGGAGAGATACTGGAACACAATGCAAATATACACAATAATAATTCTGCTATTCTTTCTACAAAGTGATCTATAAACTTTTACTCAGGTAAACATATACCAGGAAAATTGCAGTACTAAAACATACAAAAATGTACAAAAACCTGTTGTACACTGTGTCCACCTGGACAATGATAACTGAAGACACAAAGCAATATCATGGCTCCCATGTCAGAGTGAAAATGGAGAGTGCTCTCTTAATCTGTTTTCTATTGCTTATAACAGAATACCTGAAAGTGGGTAATTTATAAGAAATAAAACCTATTTTTGACATTTCTGGAGTCTGGGAAGTCCAAGGTAAAGGGGGCATATCTGTTGAGAGCCTTCTTGCTGGTGGGGACTCTTCAGAATCCCAAGATCAGGGCATCCCATCGTGAGGGGGCTGAGTGTGCTAGTTCAGTCCTCTCTTCCTCTTTTATAAAGTCATCAGTCCCACCCCCGTGATAACCCATTAATCCATTAACCCATTGACCCCTGTGATATAACGTGGATGTTTGTCTCCTCCAAATCTCATGTTGAAATGTGATTCTCAATGTTGGAGGTGGGGCCTAGTGGGAGGTAATGGATCTCACTAGGGATTCACAAGGAGGATCCCTTATGCATGTTTTGGCATCATCCCCTTGGTGATAAGTGAGTTAGTCCTCAGTCAGTTCACATGAAATCTGGTTGTTTAAAAGCCTGGGATCTTCCCAGCCTTGCTCTGTTGCGCCTGCTCTTGCCATGTGGCACACCTGCTCCTCTTTGCCTTCTGCCACGATTAAAACTTCCTGAGGCCCTCAACGGAAGATGCTAGAGCCATGCTTGTATAGCCTGCGGAACTATAAACCAATTAAACCTCTTTTCTTTACAAATCAGTTAACTCCTTCCAGCACCAACTTAAAAGTCCAAAGCCCAGAGTTTCACTTGTGAGACCCTAAAACCAAAATAAGTTATCTACTTCCAAGATTCAATGATGGTATAAGCATAAGACAGACTTTCCCATTCCAGAAGGGAACATTAGGCAAAAAGAAAGGAGTAACGGGGTCTAAGTAAGTCAAACCCAGCAGTGAAAACATTAAATCTTAAAATCAGAGAATAATCTCTCTTGACTCCATCCATGTGGCACCTCCAGGAGTTAGGCTCCCAAGCTCACAGGTGGCCTTGCCCCTAAGGTTTCCTGGGTACAATGCATGTGGCTGCTCATAGGGTTAGAGTTTGGTGCCTGAAGCTTTCTCAGACAGGTGATGCATGCTGCCAATGACTTTTTAGTTTTGATGTCCTGGTGGTGGTTCTACTCCCATAGTTCCACTAAGCATGGACCTAATGGGAATTAGCTGTGACATTCCCAACCTCACATTTCTTCTTGGTATTGCTCTAATGGGGTCTTTCTTCTCTGTCTCCACCCACAAAAAATATCTTTGCCTGGTTCTTTAGGTTTTCTATGACATCCTTTAAAATCTGGGAGGAGGTTTCCAAGCCTTCACAGCTCTTGCTTTGGGTGCCACCAAGATTGACAACTTGTACCTTCACCTAGGGATGTTTGAGCTAGGGTGGCATCTGAGCACTGTGCTAGAGTGAAAGGATCAGAGTTCTGAGGCAGTCTCAGGTGGCTGGCCTGTGAAGAGTGCCCTGGGCCTGAAACCACTGTGCCCTCCTAGGCCTCTGGACTGTATTGGAAGAGGTAGCCTCTAAGATTTCTAAAATACCTTCTGGGTCTTTCTACCATTGTCTTTGGGAATAGTACCTAGTTCCCTTCTGGAACTGCTAATAATGTCTCTAGAAAACAGGTGCTGGGCCACACCTTTGGTTTTCTCACCTGAGCATGCTTTTTTTACTCTTAATATGGCCAAGTTAAGAGTTGTCCAAGTCTTACCACTATGCTTCCCTTTGAACTATAAATTATGTCTTTAAATTATTTATTTGCTCCTGAATCACATTTCTTCTGTCCAGTTCCCTAGATCATCACTCTTTAGTTATCTTCCACAATGCCCTCAGGCATGAACACAATTCAGCCAGGTTATTTGCCAGTTTATGACAAGAATAGCCTTTACTCCAGTTTCAAATATGTTTTTCTCATTCCCATTTCAAACCTTGACAGAATGGCCTTTCCTGTCTACATTTCTATCAGTATTCTGGTCACAACCAATTAACATATCTCTAAGGAGTTCCTTTCTCTTGTCTTCTTGTCTCCTATGTCCTCAGTAGAATCTAGTTTGCTCCTCCAAATTATTTCAGCCTCTATTACCCAATTTCAAAGTTGCTTCTACATTTTCATATATTTGTTATCAGCAACACCCCACTCTCCATACCAATTTTCTGTCTTACTATGTTTTCTGTTGCTTAAAACACAGCACTTGAAATGGAGTAATTTACAAAAAAAAAAAATATTTTTGGCACATCAGGGATTAAATTTCAATGTGAGTTTTAGTTGGGACAAATATCCAAACCATAGCAGAGGTCCAAGCACTAAATGCAATATAATTCTGAGTCTTTGTGCATGATGAATTCACCAGATACATGGGCACACTTGATAATTTTTTCAGTGCCCAAATTTATAATTGGAATGGGCATACTTGGGACTGACAGAATCGCCACCTTGTTTTTTTGGTATTTTGGGCAAGTAGAAAAGATCTAGTGAAATTACTGAAATGGACTTCCCTTGCAATGGTTACAAACATAAAAAATAATTTCATTTTTAGAAGAAGGTGATGATCACAGCCTCCATAAATTACCTTATGCAAGGGCGGTGATCCCCTTCATATCTCCACTTAGGTCATCACTTTGGAACCACATAAACTTAACAGATTCAGAGGGGAACAGTGAGATTCCACACATTCAAAGAGTTCTAGCCCCATTTGCAGTTGTGATACTAGGCATATTGACACAGTCTCTAGTATGTTGTGCATGGTAAATACATTTTCTATTCCTATCAAGCAAGAGGAGCAGTGTGTGTTCATGTGAGAAAGTCAAGCATACACTAAGGACTAAATTAGCTACACCCTACCACTAACCCAATCATAAGATAGTTCAAAAACCCTGGAAAATCTTGACTTGTTACATACTATCATGGTATTCCATTATATTAATGATATTATATTATCAAAGTGGATGTCCAAAGAGTGTGAAAACATAGGAGACTTTTATAAGACAAATGATCTACAGAGGATACAGACCGTAGGAGGCAAAGGGAAAGAAATGTTACAAACCTGCCTCATCAGTGAAATTTTCTTGTGCCAGTGGTAAAATCAAATATGCCTTCCAAAGTAAAGAATTATACATTCTTTACCTTCCTAACATAAAAAAAGATGCACAACGCACAAGTCTGGGGCTTAGCACACTTCACTTTGACAAACCTGCCTCCATAAATTTATGAAGGTGGAAAAGGGCTATTTGATTTGAACGTGACCTGTAGGAGAAAAAGACTCTTTAGGGAGTCCAGGCTATGGTGTAAACAGATCTGGTGCTGGTGGCAATCTATTAGCCCAACTCTATGATATTATATGAATCTACGATGGCATAAGATGTCTTGGGGCGTTTATGACAAGTCCTAAGAGGAGAATCATCAAATAGGCTATAAGGGTATTAGATCAAAGCCATGCCACCCGCAACAGAGAATGTTACACCATTTTTTAAAAAGTTCCTGACGTGTTATTTGTCTCGGAGCACAATACATCAAGTGGCCATAATACTAGAGCACCTCCTCAGGAGCTGAATCCTGTCATACTCACGAAATCAAAAGATCTGATGTCTTCAGCAGCAATCCATCAAAAGATAAAAGTAGTGCATTCAGCATCAAGCATGTGCAAAGTCTAAGGACAAAACCAAGATTCATGTTTAGTACATGCAGAGTGTCATGTCATCCACCAAAAATTCCAACAGCACCTCTGTCTCAGCTGACAACTGTGGCCCTATGGAGAGATCATTTACAACCGACAAAGGAGAAAAGTAACAAGCTTGGCTCATTCATTGTCAGCTCAGAGTGTAGGTGCAAGCTAAAAATGAACTGCTTCACTACAACCTCACATAAAGGTGTCTCTAAAAGTCAGCAGTGGGGGGTTAATCCAGTGGGAAGTGCTTTGGGCAGTGCTTCTGGTCATTTCATTTGTACAGAAAGAATTCAGAATCAAGGAATACGTGAATATATTGGGTATATATATATATATATATATATATATGAAATATGTGAATATATTGGGTATGTATATATATATATACACACACACATATATATAATATGTGACTACATATATATATAATGTGAAAAAATATATATAGTGAGAGAGAGGCTACTGAGCATTGGCAAACATACAGTTGGCCTTGTTAGGGGGTTAGAAAGAGAAAGACTGGAATATCAGGAACAAAGAAATTTGAGAAAGACACAGGTGTATAGACCTCTGGGGGTAGAAAAAAATTCAAAAACTTTGCTTATATTGAATATGTCCTCTGTGCAGTGTACAATTTAAAAGTTCTAGCTGCTGAAGATCTTGCCTACACAGGACAATCTTATGATTATGTTGCCTGACTTATCCAGCCATGAAAGTATTTCAATGCCATCTAAATCCAGGGAAGTAATTAGGAAAAGTATACTTGATTAAAATCTATAATGTGCTAACATGCTAGATGGAGAAAAAGTATGGACCTTCCAATATAAATATAGCAAGTAAAATTGTTAGTAAAATGTTTGATTCCAAATTATACTTTGAAACTTGTAAAGTATCTGCTTTATTAGTTTATTTTTAAATAATACCAATAGTGAGGACACTGTTGCTTTGTTTACATTATATGTTCAATAAGTTGTAGAATAAAATATGTTATCACAGAGGTGAAACATAAATGGCTTTAATGTCAAAATGAATTTTCTTCTGACAGCTGATAAAGAAACAACAAGTCTAGGTTAGGAACATTTTGCCACATGGTCTCAAATTAGAATGCATATGCTAAACATTGAAATGAGGTTGTCCTAAAGGTTTATAAAATGTCTTTTAAAAGCAGTTTATAGATTTTCCCATTTCTATTGCCTAGGTTATTAAAGTTGTAAGTAAACAAAGGTTTCATTGAGGCACTGTCTGCTGCTATATATCATCCTGGAAATTAGGATCAGTTAAGGCTTCATTTTGACAGTTCCTGAATACCATCGCTGTGATATCAGAGGTGGTTTGGGAATGCTAGTTCTCCCTGCTGCCACAGAGCTCCAGCTGATTCTGGTAGATGTAGATACAGCGTATCTCTCTTACACTGTCTTTGCCTGTCATTGCTACTCTCTTATCTAGTTTAATTTCCTATTTTTATATTTGTGTGGCACAGTGATATTATCTCTAAGAAAAAAAGTTTACAATATAATAAAGTTATGTTCACTGTCTAGGTGAGGTTACACTGGTCATTCAGATGCAAGTTTGAACAATTTCAATATTTTCCAGTGTATTTCCAGTCTGATTACAAATTTATATCATTCGCAATAATTAGAAGTATGTTTTACCAATGGGGTAAAAGGAGGTAAGTGTAGAGTTATCTTAATGTATATGATATTTATGTGGCAATGCTTAGAATGTATATAATTTGCAAAACATTTTAAAATGGTTTTGCATTTAAAATTCTGACTTTTTGAAAGTCATATAGGGTTTTATTTTACTTATTCAAAGGCATATATAGTTTTGATAAAGCAGGATTCAAATATGGAAAATAGTGATTATCAAAAATATAATATTTTAATGCACATAATTATTTCTCTTTCTCTCTTAATAAATCCTTGAATGAAATAATGTAATTCTCAAAAATAAAACATGCATTTGGTCCAATTAATTAAGCACAAGTAACATAATTTTCTGGTGAA
This sequence comes from Homo sapiens, assembly GCF_000001405.40. Classification (NCBI taxonomy): domain Eukaryota; kingdom Metazoa; phylum Chordata; class Mammalia; order Primates; family Hominidae; genus Homo; species Homo sapiens. The sequence continues at coordinate 86,058,758 of NC_000013.11, read as the reverse complement.
TTATTATCCTTAAATAGAATATATTAAGTGTCTATTTATATTATTAGAAATTATAAATATTTATTAAATAATATTTACAAATTAATCATGGAACAATTATGCTGCTTAATATTTGAAGAGTTTCCATAAATATTTTGATACCAATGACTCAATAGAAAATGAGAAAACTATATGAAGAAGTACTTCACATTAAATAAAATTATAAGTGATATAAACCATTTAAGTGTGTCTCACTTTCTTGTAATTAAAAAAAAATGAATAAAACCACAATACAAGGTGTTACCATTTCAACCAATTTGCCTGGCAACAATAATAATGACTAAAATTAAAAAGGTGTTTTGTAGTCCTAAAGACATCAATGCTTCAAAAAGAATAGAGAAATTATATCCTCCTTACAAGTCAATTCTCTTATTTTATCAAAATTAAAAATGCATTTACATTGACCTAGAAATTTCATTCTATATTTTTAATGCTAATGACATTTTTCACTTGTGCCAAAAAGTTTTCATATATCTATCACAACATTCCAATATTGTTTTTAACTTTGAAGTACAGAGAATTACCTACATGTCTTAGAGACTGATTTAACATAATTTTATTTAATGTATAATACTATTGTTAATTACATTAGTATTTTATATACTTACAAATGAAAACAAAACATAAAACTACCAATTATATCAGAAAGACACTATCAATTATAAGACACAATTTAGTTTCAGAGATGTTTTTAAAAGTCTGCTTGAAATTAGTGAAATGTGACACACAATGAAAGACCACAGAATAATATAAAATATTAAAAGAATAGCACAAACATAATGAAGTAACAGGATCTTAAAATATTTTAATGAAAGAAAAATGAGTGTAGAATACTGTGTACAATTATTCTCATATATAGATATATGTAATTTTTATAGTAAATGGGAAAAATCAAATCAGAGGTTTCTTTTGGAAAAATCATTTTACAATCAGGTACATGGGTGAGTGGATAAAAATGTATTTTGTTAAGAGTTATATGACCTACTGCATACATTGTTTTATTTCCTTTGAAGTAAAGTTGTTCTAAAAGACTCTAAAGTAAAATAATAGTTTCATTTACTTTGCCAACTGCCAATGCTTACTCTTCCATAGACAATCATTTTCAATTACTCCAGTAATTTCTTTTTTACATACCTCCGTGTTTTTTAGAACACATAAATACTAGTTTTCTTTTATTGATGAATTTTAGCCATTATATATTGGAATTCCACAAAGAAAGACAAGGTTTCAGTCTCTATTTCATCTTTCCCTTCACTCCTAAACATCCAACTTGCCCATAAACAATCACCTACACACTTCTCCACTTCTTATATTTACCAATAATAATACATAGTATATTATCATAAAGGTATGATATGTTTATATTATTAAATCTGTGTAATAGTAGTCAAGTATAAGACATGTAGTACCAGGACTTTCTTTCTGATATTCAAGTATTTTGTGTTATTCTAGCATTATTCTGCTGTCCTTACTTCCCCTTCTGTATTTCTCTCTCTTCCATTTGCTTTGATATCAAAGCAGGTGTTAAAAATACATTGCCAAAGTCTCCCCAGTATAAATCTTGCAGTACAGTCAAAATACTTTACCAAAATATTTTAGTTAATATATCATTTTTATTTGAATTATATGACCTTGCTTCCTTGATATTTGTATTCTTCTAGTTCAGTCTCTGCTTACTGAATTCTAAGGCAAGTGCAGAGCAATGTCTTTGCTTATCTTTTACATATTCTTTTGGAATTCTCTTCAATTTTTTATTAATTCTTATATGTTTATTTCACATCTTTCTTTTTCTTTTTTTATTCCCACATTTTTGTTGAATGTATCTGTTAATTGGCTACAGAGAAAGGACATCTAGATGTATTATTTTGAAGCCATTATGTGTGATCGTATTTTTACTCTACTTTCTCATGTCATAAATATCTTTGGTGTGAATAGACTTACAAATGTGAAATCATCTTCTTCAAACTTTATCCAATATTGTCCAGATTCTAGTATTGCTTTTGAAAAGACTGAAATACTATTGATTTTTGAAACTTTATACATAAAGAAGTTTTCTACTCTTATTTGGAAGTTTTAAGATTTTCTCTATTGTGAAATATCTAAATGAGTGATTGCGCTGGGATATTCACAGCTTTAGTATCTGTAGGTTATGATCTTTGATGTCAGGAAGGAACAATCCCCAAAGAATGGAAAAAACTGTCATCTATTAGGGAGTGGGTAGATGGTTACTGATATTTGAGATGTTTAGTTTTGTTTTATTGTTTTCTTCCAGAGTTGTATACTTACTATCTCTGATAATAATTCCTGAAAGTAAATCTAAGTCTTCTACTGAATTAGAACTCAGAATTGTACCTACTTATTAGGTAAAATGGGAAGCAAAATCTGGGTGTATTAGTGCATTCTCATGCTGTTATGAATAAATATCCAAGACAGGGTAATTTATCAAGAAAAGAGATTTAATTGACTCACAGCTCCACATGCCTGGGAGACCTCAGGAAACTTTTAATGGGAATTGCATTGAATTTATAGATTGCTTTGGGCAGTATGGTCATTTTCACAATATTGATTCTACCCATTCATGAGCATAGAATGGGTTGCCATTTGTTTGCATCATCTATGATTTCCTTCAGCAGTGTTTTGCAGTTTTCCTTGTAGTGGTCTTTCACTTCCTTCATTAGGCATACTTCCTTCACTACATATATCCCTAAGTATGTATGTGAGTGTGCGTGTGTGTCTGTATGTATACGTGTGTGTGTATTTACATACATTCACATTTACAGTTATTATAAAAAAAGTTAACTTCTTCATTTGATTCTCAGCAGGGTCACTGTTGGTATATACAAGTGATACTGATTGTGTACATTTACTTTTTATACAGAAACTTTACTCAGTTCATTTATCAGTTCTAGGAGCTTTTTGGATTAGTCTTTAGGGTTTTCTAGGTATACACTCATATTGTCATTGAATAGCGACAGTTTGACTTCTTTTTTACTGATTTAAATGCTCTTTATTTCCTTCTCTTGTCCGATTGCTCTGGCTATTACTTCCAGTACTATGGTCAACAGATGTAGTGAAAGTGGGTATCCTTGTCCTGTTCTAGGTCTCAAGAGGAATGCTTTCAACTTTTCCCCATTCTGTATAATGTTGGCTATGGGTTTGCCAAAAATGGTTTTTATTACCTTAAGGTATGTTCCTTCCATGCCGATTTTGCTGAGGGTTTTAATGATAAAGTGATGCTGGATGTTCCAAAATGCTTTTTCTGCATCTACTGAGATGATCATATGATTTTTGTTAATTCTGTTTATGTTGTGTATCACATTTATTGACTTGCATAGGTTAAACCATCCCTGCATCCCTGGTGTAAAACCAACTTGATCATGTTGGATTTTTTTTTTTTTTTTTTGATATGCTGTTAGAATCAGTTAGCTCGTATTTTGTTGAGATTTTTTTGCATCTATGTTCATCAGGGATATTGGACTGTAGTTTTCTTTTTTTAATGTCCTTTCCTGATTTTGATAGTAGGGTGATACTGGCTTCATAAAATGATTTAGGAAGGATTCCCTCTTTCTCTATCTTTTGGAATAGCATCAACAAGATTGGTACCAATTCTTCTTTGAATGTCTGATAGAATCCAGGTGTGAATCAATCTGGTCCTGAACTTTTTTTTGTTGTTGGCAATTCTTTAATTATCATTTCAGTCTTGATGCTTGTTATTGGTCTCTTCAGAGTTTCTTTTTCTTTCTGGTTTAATCTAGGAGGGTTGTATATTCCAGGAATTAATCCAACTCCTCTAGATTTTCTAGTTTGTGTGCATAAAGCTATTCATAGTAGCCTTGAATAATCTTTTGTGTTTCTGTGGTATCAGTTCTAATGCCTCCTGTTTTGTTTCTAATTGGCTTATTTGGATCTTCTCTCTTATTTTATTGGTTAATTTTGCTACCAATTTTGTTTCTCTTTTCAAAGAACCCGGTTTTTGTTTCGTTTATCTCTTGTATTTTTTAATTTGTTTCTTTCAATTTTATTTAGTTGTGCTCTGATCTTTGTAATTTCTTTTCTTCTGCTGGATTTGGGTTTGGTTTGCTCCTGTTTCTCTAGTTCCTTGAGTTGTGACCTTAGATTTTCTATTTCTGCTCTTTCAGACTTTTTGATGTAGGCATTTAAGGCTATGAACTTTCCTTTTAGCACCACCTTTGCTTTATCCCAGAGATTTTGATAGGTTGTGTCACTATTATCATTCAGTTCAAAGAATTTTATAACTTTCATCTTGACTTCATTGTTAACCCAAATGATCATTCAGGAGCAGGTTATTTAATTCTTATGTATTTCAACAGCTTTGAGGGTTCCTTTAGGAGTTTATTTCCAATTTTTTTCCACTGTTATCTGAAAGTACTTGATATAATTTCAATTTCTTAATATTTATTGAGACTTGTTTTGTGGCCTATCATATTGTCTATATTGGAGGATGTTCTGTGTGCTGATGAATAGAATGTACATTCTACAATTGTTGGGTAGAATGTTCTTTAAATATCTAAGGGCATTTGTCTAGGCTATAGTTTGAGTCCATTGTTTCTTTGTTGACTTTCTGTCTTAATGACCTGTCTAGTGCTTTCAGCAGAGTATTGAAGTCCTCCACTTCTGTGTGGCCATTTATCTAATTTTTTAGGTCTGTACTAATTGTTTTATAAATTTGGGATGTCCAGTGTTAGGTGAATATATATTTAGAATTGTGATATTTTCCTGTTGGAATAGTCCTTTTATGGTTACATAATGTCCTTTGTGTTTTTTAACTGTTTTTGCTTTAAAGTATTTTGTCTAATATAAGAATAGCTACTCTTGCTTGCTTTTGGTGTCCATTTCTATGAAATATATTTTTCCACCCCTTTACCTTAAGTTTATGTGAATCCTTATGTGTTATGTAGGTTTCTTGAAGATAGTAGATACTTGATTGGTGAATTCTTATCCATTCTGCCATTCTGTATCTGTTAAGTGGAGCATTTAGGCCATTTACATTCAGCATTAGTATTGACATGTAAAGTACTATTCTATTCATTACGCTAGTTGTTGCCTGAATATCTTGTTTTGTTTTGTCATTTTCATTGTCTTATTGTTTTATAGGTCTTGCGAGATTTATGCTTTAAGAAGGTTCCATTTTGGTGCACTTCGAGGTTCTGTTACAGGATTTAAAACTATTTTTAGCAGTTCTTGTAGAGCTGGCTTGGTAGTGGTAAATTCTCTCAGTATTTGTTTGTCTGAAAAAGACTTCTTTTCTCTTTTATTAAGTTGAGTTTCACTGGATAAAAAGTATTGTCTGAGGCTGGGTGAAATGGCTCATGCCTGTAATCCCAGCACTTTGAGAGGCCGAGGCGGGTGGATCACCTGAGGATGGAAGCTCGAGACCAGCCTGACCAACATGGAGAAACCCCATCTCTACTGAAAATACAATAATTAGCAGGGCCTAGTGCTGCATGCCTGTAATCACAGCTACGCGGGAAGCTGAGGCAGGAGAATTACTTGAACCTGGAAGGCAGAGGTTGCGGCGAGCTGAGATTACACCATTGCATTCCAGACTGGGCAACAAGAGTGAAACTCCATCTAAAAAAAAAAAAAAAAAATTATTGGCTGATAATTGTTTTGTTTAAGGAGGCTAAAGATTAAACCCCAACTCCTTCTAGCTTGTAGTGTTTCTGCTGAGAAATCTGTTGTTACTCTGATGGATTTTCCTTTATAGGTTTTGTGCTGCTTTTGCCTCATAGCTCTTAAGATTCTTTCCTTCTTCCTGACTTCAGATAACCTGATGACTATGTGCCTTGGCAATGATCATTTTGACATGAATTTCTTGGGTGTTCTTTGACCTTCTTGTATGTGGATGCCTGGATCTCTCGCAAGGCCAGGGAAGATTTCTTCAACTACTTCCTCAATGTATTTTTCAAAGTTTTAGATGTCTCTTCTTCCTCGGAAACACCAATTATTCTTAGGTTTCATGGTTTAACATAATCCCTAATTCCTTTGAAGTTTTGCTCTTTTTTTTAATTCTTTGTGTGTGTGTGTGTGTGTGTGTCTCTGTCTGTCTTTGTTGGATTTGGTTAATTCAAAAGCCTTGTCTTCGAACTCTGAGATTCTTTCTTCCACTTGTGTCATTTTATTGATGAGACTTTTCAGTGTGTTTTGCATTTCTCTAAGTGTGTCCTTCATTTCCAGAAGTTGTGATTTTTTTTTACATATATGCTATTTTTATATATGCTGAAGATTTTTCCATCCATATCGTGTAATATTTTTAAAAATATCTTTCAGTTGGTATTCACCTTTCTCTGGTGCCTCTTTGAGTAGCTTAATAATCAACCTTCTGAATTCCTTTTCTGGCATTTCAAATATTTCTTCTTGGTTTGGATTCATTGTTGGTAAGCTAGTGTGATATTGCGGGGGTGTTAAAGAACTTTGTTTTGTCATACTACCATAATTGTTTTTCTGGTTCCTTTTTATTTGGGTAGACTATGTCGAGGAAAGATTTGGGGCTCAAGGGCTGCTGTTCAGATTATTTTGTCTCTCAGGGTGCTACCTTGATGTGATGCTGTCCCCCTTCCCTTCAAGCTGGGGCTTTTTGAGAGCCAGACTGCAGTGATTGTTATTTCTCTTCCAGGTCCAGCCACCCCATGGAGCTACTGGGCTTAGGACTGGTACTGGGGAGTGTCTACAAAGAGTCCTGTGATGTGATCTGTCTTCAGGTCTCTCAGTCATGGACACCAGCACACCTGCTCTGGTGAAGGTAGCAGAGGAGTGAGGCAAACTCTGTGTGGGACCTTGGTTCTAGTTTTGCTTAGTGTGCTGTTTTTCTCAAATGCTGGTTGTGCTGGCAGTAAAGTTGTCATGTGGACAGACTGAGGACTTCTTGTTAGCCAGAATGTTACAAGCGGTGGAGTTAGCTGTTGTTTACTCCTTTCTTGGGGCAGGTTGTTCTATTATGAGTCACTGTAATGGTTTGTGTTGGCTGGCCACTAGCCAAAAGGTGGAACCTTCAAGAGAGCATCAGCTGCAGTAGTATAAGGAGAATCAGGTGTTGGGCAGGGCCCTAGAGCTCCCAAGAGAGTCTATCTTTTGTCTCTGGCTACCAGCGCAGGTAGAGAAAGACCATCAGGTGGGAGCAGGTTTAGGTGTGTCTGGGCTCAGACTCTCATTGGGCGGGGCTTGTTGCAGCCACTGTGGGGGATGGAGGTGTCTTTTTCAGGACAATGGAGTTTTTCCCAGGGGATTATGGATGCCTCTTCTATGTCCTACAGGTCACCAAGGAAGTGGAGAAAAGCTGGCAGAGACAGGCCTCACCCAGCTCCCACAAAGCTGGAAAGGCCAGTCTCACTTTCACTGTGCTCCCCCAGCAGCCGAGTTTATATCCAGGCAGCTGGTGAGCAGGGCTGGGAACTTGTCCCAGACTAATAGCCTCCCCACTGAGAAAGGAAGGAGGACTTTCAAGGCTTCACCTGCTTTCTGCTGTGACTTCTTTGCTTTTATCTATACTTACTGTTTGCCCTCCCACTCCTAGATTCTGCCCTGGAAAATTCACGCTTGGTCAAAATTATTACAAAGTTCACTTGGAAGTTTCCTCTTCCCTGTGGTCTTTCTCCAATTCTACTGGCAATTCTCCCCAAAAACCCCTGTAAGATAAAGTCAGAAATGGCTTCCCTGGGGACCGGGAGTGCCTCCAGGGCTCTTTCCACTGATTTTTCTACTTTTATATTTTGCTCGACTCCCTAAATTCATTTCAGCTCTAGGTAAGGTTAAATCCCTCCCATGTGATCTGGATTTTTCAGGCTCCCTCGTGAGGATGTATGTTCAGAGGCAGACTTTCCACCTCTCACACTTTGTGTGCTTTTTGGTTGTCTATCAATCAGAGTTTGCAGCAGTAAGCAGCTTTTTTCAAAGGGTCTGTGAATTCTTTCAGTTTTTCTCAAACATTTCTGTGGCAGTTCTTGGAGCAAAAGTTCACAAGATGAGCCTTCACACACTGTTCTGTCTGAGTGGGAGCTGCAAGCTAGTCTTGCTTCTTATCTGGCATTTTTTCCATCTAAATTTAAATATATTGATACAAAGTAAGGTAAATGAAGTGACAAATTAGTGAATTGTGAAGCATACATTAATGAAAACTAGTAATTTGTATATTTCATATGTAAATTAAATGTGGAAAATTGTACTCAATAAATAAAAATAGTTAAGAGTAATTTATAAGTAGCATGTTTTGCAATCCTTAATACTTATTAATGTTTTCCTATGAATATATTTGCATATTTATTATTTTTAGATTAATAAAATATAGAGAATTAACCTTATTAATGAAAAAAATTTAGAAAACAATTGTTGTAGTTTACTTTAAAAATATTCATTTTTTCAAATATGCATCCGATTATCCCCTGGGGTATCAAATAACAAAACTCATAAAGATTTTCTTTTCTCTTGAGGTCATTTAGTGGGACAGTCGAGGAAATAAAACAGTTTCAAAATATAATTTTAAGCAATAAGAGAAATATATATATAGAAGATGAACAATAGATACCATTAATGTTCGTGTAGCTTTTTCTTTTCTTTTTTTTTT